>NC_000009.12:61053887-61231966 GCF_000001405.40 Homo sapiens
AGTAGCTGGGACTACAGGCGCCCGCCACCACGCCCGGCTAATTTTTTGTATTTTTAGTAGAGATGGGGTTTCACTGTGTTAGCCAGGATGGTCTCGAACTCCTGACCTCGTGATCTGCCCACCTCGGCCTCCCAAAATGCTGGGATTACAGGTGTGAGCCACCACACACGGCATCTTATTCAGTTGTAAAAGCTCTTTAAATAATTTGAATACTAGACCCTTATAAGAGACATGATTTGCAATAATTTCTTCCATTCTGTGGGTTATCTTCTCTTTTGTTCTCCCATGTTTTAACAGTTTTATAGTTTTAGTTCTTACATTGAGGTCTATTTGGTACATTTTTATGTATGTGTGAGATAGAGGTCTAATTTCATTCATTTGCATGTGCATGTATACTCAGTAGTCTCAGAGACTACTTCTTCCCATTGGGTTGTCCTGGCACTCTTGTAAAATCCATTGACCATAAATGGCGAGGTATCTATCTGGACTTTCAATTTTATCCCAATGAGCTATCTGTTTAGTCTTAGGCCAGTTATATACTGCTTTACATTAAGTTTAGAAATTGGGCAGTGTGAATCTATCAAATTTCTTCTTCTTAAAGATTGTTTTGGCTATTCTGCATCATTTAAATTTTCATATGAAATCAGCTTGTCAATTTCAGGAAAGAAGCCAGCTGGGATATTGATTGAAACTGTACTGAATCTGTATATTACTTTAGAGAACACTGGTATTTTATTTATATTAATTATTCAATCCATGACATGAAATATCTCTCCATTTATTTACCTTTAAATTCTTTCAATGCTTTATAGTTTTCAGTGTGTTTTCCATTTCTTTTGTTAAATGTATTGCTATGTATGTTATTCTTTTTGATGCTACTGTAAATAAAATTGTTTTATTGGTTTTATTTTCAGATGGTTCACAGCTAATTTGTAGAAATACAATTGATTTTGTATATTGTTTTTGCATTCTGCAATTTTGTTGAACTTGGTTTTAGTTTTAATTGTTCTAAGTAGATTCTTTGGGATTTTTTTATATAAAAAATCATGTCATCCTCAAATAGAGATAGTTTTATTTCCTTTCTAATTTGGATGTTTTTCTTCTTTTTTTTTTTTTTTCATTTTCTTGCCTAATCAGTCTGGCCTGAACCTCTAGTACAATGCTGAATAGAACTAGTGAGAGTATACATTCTTGTCTCATTCTTGATCTTAGGAAAAAAAATTCAGTCTTTAAAATTAAATATAATTTTAGCTATGAGTTTTTCAAAAATACCATTTGTTAGACTGAGGAAGTTATCGTCTATAATTAGTTTACTGAATTTAAACAAAAATTCATGAAAGGATGTTGGATTTTATCAAATGACTTTTCTGCATCAGTAGAGCCTATCATGTGTTTCTGTCCTTTATTCTAAGATATAGTATATTATATTAATTGATTTTCAGCTGTTAAAACAACTTTCCATTTCTGGGATCATTTCCACTTTGTCTTGATGTATAGTCATTTTTATATGTGACTGGATTTGCTTTGGTAATACTCTGTTCAGGGTTTTCACATCTATCTACTTAAATGATATTGGTCTGTAGATTTAAAATATATATACTGGTATATCTATGTCTGGCTTTGGTATTAGGGAAATACTGACCTTACAGAATAAGTTGAAAAATGCTCCTTTCTCTTTTATTTTTTGGAAGAGTTTTGAAGAATTAATACTTCTTATTTAAATAGTTGATATATTTTTAAATAGTTGATATATTCTGATAGTTGATAGCATCAATTGTTTGAAACCATCTGGACCTGGGCTTTACTTTCTGTGGTATTTTAATATTATTAAGGCATTCCTTTTATTGTTATAGGCCAATTTATATTTTCTCCTCCTTCTTGAAACAGAAGTAGTAGTTTGTGTTAATTTTGTAGTTAGTGTCATCCTAGGAATTCGTCCATTTTATCTAAGTTATGTAATTTTTTTCAACATACAGTTGTTTATATTCTCTTGCAATCCATGTTATTTCTGTAAGGTTGGTAGTAATATCACTCTTTCATATGTCATTCTAGTAATTTGAATCATCTCTTTTATTCTTGGTCAGTTGTACTAAAGGTTTGCCAATTTTGTTAACAATTTTAAAGGACTGACTTTTGGTTTGGTTAATTTTTTCTGTCACTTTTATATTATCCATTTGAGAAATTTCTCCTGTTTTATTTATTATTTCCTGTTTCTCCTTACATTAGATTTAGTTTGCTCTTCTTTTTTCAGTGTCTTAAGGTGGCAGGTCAGGTTTTTTATTTGGGAACCATTTTTCTTTTTAAATATTGATGTTTACAGCTTTAAAATTCCCTCTAAACCCTGCTTTAGCTGTGTTACTATATGTTTTAGTAATGTTGTATTTTTGCTTTCATTTATCTCAAAACCTTTTCTAATTTCCCTTTTGATTTCGGAGTGTATAGTTTAATTTCCACATATTTGTGATATTCCACAATTTCTTTATGTTATTAATTTCATCTCATTGTGTTTTAAAAAGACCCTTCATATGATTTCAATCCTTTTAAATGTGTTGAGGCTTGATTTACAGGTAGCATGTTGTCTAACCTAGAATATGTTCCATGAACACTTGAGAAGAATATACATTCTGCTATTGTTAAGTGGTGTGTTCTACAGATGTGTGTTAGAATGATTGCGTTTTTATTTTTTTCAACTCTATTTTCTTGGTAATCTTCTGAGTAATTATTCTATCCTTTATTGAAAGTGAAGTATTGAATCCTCCAGGTTTTATTCCTGGTTTTTCTATTTCTCTTTTCAGTTCTGTCAGGTATTCTTTATGCAATTTGGGGCTATATTATTAACTGCATATAAGTTTGTAATTGTTATATCTTTTTGAGGGAATTAACTTTTTATCATTATATAAGTTTCCCTATTTCTAGTAGCACCTTTTGTTTTAGAGTTTATTTTTTCTGGTATTAGTATAGTCCCTTTGGCTCTCTAGGGTTACTCTTTGCATGGTACATGTTTTCCCTTCTTTTATTTTCAACTAAATTACCCCTTTCAATCTAAATTGTATGTCCTTAGACAGCATATAGTTAAGATTTCTTTTGTTATCCATTCTGACAATATTTGTCTTTTGATTGGATTGCTCAATCGATGAACATTTAATATTATTATTGATACAGTTAGATTTACATCTGCCATTTTCTTTTTCTTTTTCTATGTGTTTCATTTGTTTTCTTGTCACTTTCCTTCTGACTTATTATTTTGTGTTGGTGGATATTTTGGAGTGTAACATTTTAATTTCTTTCTTGATTTCACTATACTTTGGGGTAAAATATATATAATATATAATTTGCCACTTAACCATTTAAAATATGAAATTCAGTAGCATTAATTAAATTCACAATGTTGTGCAATTATCACCTCTTTTGATATCCAAAATTTTTCATCATCCCAAAATTAAACTGTATTCATTAAGCAATAACTCTCCATTGCCCCCTCATCTCAGCTGCTGGTATCCTTGAATCTACTTTGTCTCTACAAATTTGTCTATTGATATCTAGTAAACATGAAGTTATATAATATCTGCCCTCTTGGGTCTGGCTTATTTCACTTAGCATAATGTCTTCTATGTTAATTAATGTTGTATCATGTATCAGAACCTCATTCCTTTTAATGGCTGAACAATATACCATTATATGTATACACTACATTTTTTAATCAATTCATGTGTTGACGGACACTTGTATTATTTCCACTATTGTGATTAGTGCTACTATGAACATTTGTATACAAGTATCTGCTTGAGTTCTTGTTTTCAATTGTTTTGGTTATATATGTAGAAGTGGAATTGCTGGGTTCGAAGGTAATTCTATGTTTAACTATTTTGAGTTAACTCTAAATCAATTTCTACAGTGGCTGTGGCATTTACTTTCCCACCAGTAACAAAAGAGAGTTCCAATTTCTCTAGGTTCTTGCCAAAACTTGTTATTTTCTGTTTTTATTTATTTATTTATTTATTTTTATAGTCAATCTAGTAGGTTTGAAGAGGCAGCTCATTATACTTTTCGTTTGCATTTCTTTAATAACTAATGATGTCGAGTATCATCTTTCCATGTGATTATTGACTCTTTGTATATCTTTTTGGAGAAATGTCTCATCAAGTCCTTTGTCCAATTAGACTTTTTGTTGTTAAGTTGTGGAAATTATTAACATATTCTAGATAGTGAACCTCCATCAGATACATAATTTGCAAATATTTTATCACATTCTGTGGATTGTCTTTTTACTCTCTTGATAGTGTTCTTTGATACACAGAAGTTGTTAAATTTTATAAAGTCCAAATAATCTATTTTTGTTGTTGTTGTTGCCCGTGCTTTTGGGGTGATTTTTAAAAAACCACTGCCAAATCCAAGATCATGAAGATCTGCCTATATATCTTCTAAAAATTTTATAGTTTTAGCTTTTAGATTTAAAACTTTGATTCATTTTGAGTTAATTTTGGTAAGGGTCTAACTTCAATCTTTGCATGTGAACATCCACTTTTCCTACCTTTATGTTGAATAGACTGTTACTTCCCTACTGAATGATCTTGACAAAGACTATGTTAAACATCAATTGACTGTATGTATGTAGGTTTATTTCTGGCCTCTCAGCTCTATTCCATTGATTTATAGGTTTATCCTCATTCAGTACCACATTGTTTTGAATAATGTAGTTTATAGTAAGTTTTGAAGTCAAGAAGGGTGAATCCTCCAACTTTGTTCTTTTGTAAAATTGTTTTGCTTATTCTGGGCTTTTTCAAATTTTATTTAAATATTGATAGGGGCTTTTTCATTTGTATAAAAAGTGCTTTGGGGATTCTGATAAGAATTAGATTGAATCTGCTGGGGTTGTATTGTCATTTTAATAATCTCAAGTTTTCCAATTCATGAATATGGAATGTCTTTCCATCTATTTAGTTCTTTCTTTAATCTCTTTCAACAACGTTTTATAGTTTTCAATGTCTAAGTCTTTCACTTTCTCAGTTAAGTTTATTTCTAAGTTTTTTATTCTTTTTGATGATATTGCAAATGGAATTGTTTCCTTAATCTCACTTTCAGATTTTTCATTGCTAGTGTAGAGAAATACAACCAAATTTTTGGTGTTAATTTTGTATCCTGCAACTTTGCTGAATTTATTTATTTTCTCTTAACAGCTTTTATTTTCTGAAGAGTTTTCTACATATAAGATAAGGTAATCTGAGAGAGAGATAGCCTTTCTATTGAAATTTGGATGCCTTTTATTTCTTCTTCTTGCTTAATGACTTTAGCTGGAACTTCCAGTACTATGATAAATAGAGGTGGTAAAACTGGGCATACTTGTTGTGTTTCTTATTTTACGGAAGAAGCTTTCACCATTGAGTATGATGTTAGTTGCAGGTTTTTCATATATGGCCTTTATCATATTGAGAAAGTTCCCTTCTATTCCTAGTTTATTGAGTGTTTTTGTTTTTCAATCATGAAAGGTTACTGGAGTTTGTTAAATGTTTTTTTTTTCAGCAACAATTAAGATAATCATGTTTTTTTTCCCCTCTCATTCTATTAATCTTGTGTAATATGTTGACTGATTTTCATTTGTTGAACCACTCCTGAAATCCTGGGATAAATCCTACTAGTTTTTGGTATATAGGCCTTTTAATATACTTCATGACAATGTTTTATTTTCTTTAGTGATTGCTCTAAGCTTGCATTATATATATCTTATCAATAATCTGCTTCAGGTTTACACTAACTTAATACAAGTGAGATTTAGAAAAGTTATTTCTACATAGCTCTATTTCTTCTCTTTTGGAACTATTTTTATGCATACCAAACCCATTATTAGTTTATATAATTTGTTCTCTTTTTAAAAAATCTGAGAAAAGAAAAAAGATCAAATAAATATTTATAGACTTTGTCTATAAACTCTCTTATTTACCATTTCTAGTTCTCTTTCTTTGTTCCTCTGACTCATGTTACCATTTGGTGTTATTCCTTATTTCAGTACAGCCTTGCTGCCATCTGTCTCCTCTGTGCTGTTTTTTTGTAATATATTTCTATAGGCCCAACAATGAAAATATATACATTATATATTTGTATATTCTCTATTATAGTTTTATACATTGCTTTTTAAAATAGTTAAGCACTGAAAAGGGTAAGAAATATGACATTATACTTTCTTTTATAATTACCTGCACACTTACTTTTATTAGTGCTATTTGTTTTTTGTGTGTAGATTCAGATTATTGTCTGGGTTATGTCCCTTCAACCTGAAGGAACATTCTTTGTTATTTCCTCTAATGCAGGCTAATAGCAGTGAATTCTCTGCTTTTTGTAAGTAGGGATATATTTACTATCTTTTATAATTTTTAGTTTTTATGAATACCTAATAGTTGTATGTATTTATGGGGTAGAGGTAATATTTTGATACAACCAAACAATGTGTAATGATCAAATCAGGGTAACTGAGATATCCATCACCTTAAACATTTATCATTTCTTTTTGTTAGGAACATTCCAGTTCCACTCTTCTAGTTATTTTGAAATATACAATAAATTATTGTTAACTATAGTCATCCTGTGCTACTGAACATGAAAGATGGTTGTGCTGGGTGTAAGTTTCTTCATGACAATGGTTTTCTTTCATCTCTTTGAATATGTTATCTCACTGTCCTTTGGCCTCCATTCTTTCAGATTAGAAGTTAGCTGTTGATCCTGGCGTTTCCTTGTATATATGATTTTTCTCTTACTGCTTTTAAAATTTCCTTCTTGACTTTGGCTTTCAAAGTTTTTAATAAGATGTGTCTGGATATAAACTTCTTTGTGTCATCTGTATTTCACTGAGCTTCTGTATCTTAGATTAATGATTTTTATTAATTTGGGAATGTTTTCAACCATTATTTTTCAAATATTTTTTTCTGATCCTTTCTCTCTCTCCTGGTGTTTTCAATTACGTATATGTTGGTGTGCTTAGTTATGTCTGATATTTCTCTGATGATCTGTTTATTTTTTTCATTATTATTTCTCTGTATTCTTCAGGATACATAATCTCTACTGATCTTGCTTCAAGTTTGCTGATTCTTTTTTCTTTTCTCTGTTAAACTTCCCTGGCTTAACTCATTACTCTCTTGGAGTTATCAACATTCTCTTAATTGCTTACTGCCAATATCTTCATACCACTAGCTTAAACTTATCCATGCTCTGTTCCAAATAGAAATCAGTTCACTTGGGGAGGGCTACCAAGCTGTGTATTTTCATGGCCTCCCTCTACCTCTTGGTTAAATGTGCCTCACTGCTCTGAAGCTGTGGAGAGTGAGAGTGGCCTGCTCCTTTGTAGTAAAACCTCTGCTTACAAGTAGGGCACAGGGTGGGAAAGGTAACTTCTTGCCTTGCCTCTCCTGGTGGAGAAACTGTTCCTTACAAGTAAGCTGGAGTGAGGGCAATTGGGACACAGGATTTTTCCAGCTGCCACACCTGAAGACCTTATGTCCTGGAATGAGGAGTTGGTGTAGGAAGGAAACCCCAGACTTCTCAGCTGTTTCTGCGTGGACAGAGCTTCTGTCCTACAAAACTGGGGATGACAAGAAATGCTGGCACCCAATCTTGGGGTAATGCAGTATCTCTGTAGTAGGACCTGGGTAGAGAGGAAACCTTTGGCTTCTTGGCTATATCCATATAGAGTGGAGCTTCCGTCATACTGAGCTAGGGATGGGGAGGTGCAGGGAGAGGGTCTTGGCTTAAATGCCTCAAACTCTCACTGTTATTACTGATTAATAAATGTTTCTCCATTGGATGTATTTCCTTAGGACATTTTCTAAAGACTTTCAATAGTTGTTTTTTAAAATAATAATTTTTACTAGTTATGCCTGTTTCGTATGAGAGAGGGTTTACAGAGCTCCTTATGTGGCCAGCCTGGAAATGCCAGAGTACCAGGTTTTTTATTTGAATGTTACCTCCTCTTTAAAAATCGATTTGCTTTGTAGGAAGCATGAAACAGAGCTCCTGAAGTAACTAGAGAAAAGGTGATTTGAAGACCAACCCTCCTTCAAGGTCAGAATTTAGAAATGTTCTTTTATGCCAAAGATGTTTCTCAAATTTACTGTCTGGATAGAAAGGCTAATCCAAAGTGGTATCTACAGTATTCTGAGAGAGAAAAGTTGAAGGTCTTTCAGCTTCTCTTAAAACACTTTATGAAAGGTTGATATTTTAATTTTATATCAAGTTAATTCCAAAAATGTGTTTAGTACACACATACACATACACACACACCCCAAATGTATCTGTAAATAAAAAGAAAATGTTGGGTGATGATCACTGTCTTGGAATACTACTCCACTCTTTCCATTTCCATAAAATATAAAGAATTTACTGAAAATCCAGATCATTCTTATTAGATTAGGTAATCTAACTATAACATATGCCCCAGCCACTGGAGGACCATTTTCCATTTACTTACCATATAATGTCTATCCTTAAGAAAATTTTGGGTTATAAAATAACATTCAAATTGCACTTAGCAAATGTGGATTGGGAATGATTTAGAAATCAGCACTTGTGCTCATGAAGGAGTGGTTACTCCTGATGTTGGCTTGAGATATAAAAAGAGCTCTGTATTTGCACCAGAGCTATGAGATTTGTGAGCACAGAGATCTTCAGGACTAATAAAAGACATATGCAAGACCTTCTGAAAATTTAAATGACTTCTAGATAATGAATCCTCAAAATTCTTTTGAAAGTCACACAATTTATAGTGATTAAAGCCTGTTTTGCTGCTAAAAATAGTAAGTGTAACAGCCCAGAGACACTTAAACACACAATTACATTTTAGCTCTGATGAATCAATATTGTAAGAGGTTTCATAAAAGTATTACAAATATATTAAATAAGTCAGTACAGAGTACTTAATACTAAAATCAGTCCCTTTTTCCTTTTCTTTTTTTTTTCCCCCAAGACGGAGTCTCACTCTGTCGCCCAGGAGTGAGTGCAGTGGTGCGATCTCGACTCACTGCAACCTCTGCCTCCCGGGTTCAAGCAATTCTCCTGCCTCAGCCTCCCGAGTAGCTGGGATGCCCTGCTAATTTTTGTATTTTTAGTAAAGATGAGGTTTCACCATGTTGGCCAGGCTGGTCTTGAATTCCTGACCTCGTGATCCGCCTGCCTTGGCCTCCCAAAGTGCTGGGATTACAGGCATGAGCCACCACGCCCAGCCCTTTTCTTTTGAAAACATGATTGTACCTGAGCAGAAGCTGTGTGATACCCCACTGCACTCCTCTAAGAAGAGTCAAACATCATAGAGCAAAGTGTTTGAGTGATCCTGTTAATGACTGTCAATATTTAAGTATTCTTTTCCCCTTCTAGTTAGTATGTTTGTTTTATAAGAAAAGACATTTCTATAAAGGCCTTTTGAATCACTTAAAGTCACTGTCACAAGGGACAATGGGTAAGACGATTGCTCAAGCCTAGGAGTTCAAGTCCGGCCTGGGCAACAGAGAGGCTTGAATAGCAATACGTTGTCTCTAAAAATTAAAAACAAAAATAAGAATGATGCTTTACTGATGTTAAAATTAGAACAGTACAAGGACAGAGTTTTGAAAACCAAATTATTTCAAGAGGATTAGCATTGAACAGATGCTGGGGTAACCCAGAGATCTTCTAAATAAGAAACCCAGAGAGGACTGATAGCCTTAAGTTTTCAAAAACAGTCATATCCCTTCTAAATTCAATAGAGGAATTTGGTACAGAAATTATTCCATTTCAAATAATTCAATCTTATCCTCTCTTTATAATATCAAATGCCAGAAGCATTCTTCATACTATTTAAGTTTCATGTACTTTCCCTATAACCTGCTCCTTGGTCACACTTACCATTGGAGCAGAACGGTCCATCATAGGCTGAGAAGGCACAGTCACAGGTGACCCCCCTGCGTTTCTCTCTGCATCTCCCTCCATTGCGACACAAGTGTCCATAGGTGCTGCAGTGTCCTGCACACCCTGGCTCCACTCCTGGCATCACTGTGGCTCTTTCTTCAAGATCCAGGGCCACCCCGTTCAACTGCAGAGACCGAATGCATCCTAGAAAGCCTCTCTGTCTGGTGGCCGTTCCACCTACAACGGAAACACTGCAAATAGAAATGTGTTCCTTGGTATTTTATTCAGGATTTTATGTCCATGTCAAACTCAGGCCTTATGGAGAGTGGCAATAATCACAATGTGTCAAAAAATTTTGTGAACATATACAATTTTGAAAATATAACTGTTATGAGATATGCAGCTTTAAATGACATTGAATAAAACATTTATTTACATAACTTTCAAACATGGTGAGTCTGGCAAATAGTCCTTCTAAAAACATTTCCTTAACTTCAGGTAAGAAAGAATTTCACTTTAGTTCCTTTACAAAGAACAAAATACATAATATAAATCACATCAAACACTATTTTACTTTGTTTAGGAATAAGAATGTGCATTCATCAAACATTATTTTAATTTCTTTATGAATAAGAATGTGCATTATAATGGTTAGGTATGAACTTCCAAATTTTTCACAATAATAAAAATATATATGGATAAATTTGTTACTTGGATGGACTCTAAAAATAAAGTGTGAAAGGAAATGGATAAGCAAAGGAGGGGAAGTTGGAAGGGGTGACACCATACCCCAGGATCTCCTCCTCTCAGAGGGTACAGTGCTAAACAGTAATTGAATACTGCATGCATGCACATTTTGTCATGTCAAACTTGAATGCTGAAGAAACCATTTAGAGAGGTTTACAACACCTGTGTAGTGACAAACACCATTACGAAGGCGACAATTCTCAATGTTAGGAGCATGGAAATTACCTAGAGTTTCTGGAAAAATGCAGTTTTTAGCCTCCTCCCAGAGATTCCAATTCGGTGGCCTAAGGTGGGGGCCCCAAATCTGAACTATCAATCAGCTTTGTGGGTGATTCTGAAGCCAGTGCTTCATCCACCGCAATGAATGCTGATTCTAGGTGAATTTTATGCTAATTGTGTTTCTAGGCATTCCCTTAAATAATCTCCAAGATTACAAGTGAGAAAATCAAGTTCTTGGTTTGACCCCTCCGTGTAGTCCTCCTTTCCAGTAGTTTGATGGTTTCATGTCCTTTGAAAAAGCCTCACTGCAACTTAATAGAAGAGCTAACCACGCCTGAAGCTAGGTTTTAGGAAGTCATGGTATAACACCCCATCCACATCCACATACATACATGGGTTCATGTGTAACATTTAGTACCTGGAAGTTGTATCTACCCTCCCCTGTAAATTAGGTTGGATGATAATTTGTGATTTAGTCCAGTTTTAATTAGATTGCATCCTTATTCGCTTTAAAACACTTAAGAATGAACAAGTGAGAGCTTTAATCTGTGTAGCTCCTACGTTAGAATAGTTTCAAAAGCAATATGGAAAAATAAACAACAGTGATAAAACAGTAAGTAAGCAAACTAAAGGAAAGACTTCCAGAGCTATCACCTTTAAATAAATGGAGTGCAAGAACAGATGAGCCAGACCGGGTTATAAACAAGGAGCCTGTGATGAGAGAGCCCCAGAAGTGAGAACAGCAGCGAGGAAAACCGGGAGTGGGCTCCTGGAAGCCTGGCCGCGGGGGAGGTGCGCAGTGCTGCTTCCAATCAGCGGGTATCCTGCGATCTGGTTTTGAGTGGACCCTGGAGGACTTCTGTCCCAATTACAAGCTCTCTAACTCCACCGAGAAGTGAAACTGAAGGAATGGATAAAAATGTCTAATGATCTCACTAATAGTGTTGATAAAATATAGCTGTCACATATGCCAATCCTCTGCATTGTGAATGGTTCAAGTTTGGGGGTTGGCTATCCTGGGATCCCTCTCATTAGCTGGTTACTCCACTTCTCTGAGGCTTGGCTATCTCATCTGTAAACAGATGACAATACCTAAACATTGATACCTAAACACTGAGATACTGCAGGGCCCGGTGGCTCGCGCCTGTAATCCCAGCACTTTGAGAGGCTGAGGTGGGTGGATCATCAGGTCAAGAGATCACGACCATCCTGGCCAACATGGTAAAACCGTGTCTCTATTAAAAATACAAAAATTAGCCAGGCGTGGTGGCACCTGCGCCTGTAATCCCAGCTACTCAGGAGGCTGAGGCAGGAGAATCGCTTGAACCCGGCAGGTGGAGGTTTCAGTGGGCTGAGATTGCACCACTGCACTCCAGCCTGGGCGACACAGTGAGACTCTGTCTGAAAACAAAAACAAAAACAAACAAACAAACAAAAGAAATGTCAAATAAGAAGCACACAGCAAGCTCCTGGAACCTACCAGGTTATCAGCAAATAGTACCAATAAGCAGTAGTTGTTGGCAACTGTTGCTCTCAGTACATCACAGTTCTTAATTTCTTTTGGTCCCTCTCTGGACTCACACTAAATTCAGTTATAAACCACCAGCACTCACCAATGAAGAGCTGGCTGTTGAGCTGTAAACGAACGTGCCCATCAGCAGGGGCAGGCTGCATCTTCTGAGGAAGCTGATCAACTTGAAGAGACGCTCCTTTAACATTTCTCTCTGCCCTCACGTGGTGCCACTGATTGTCATTAAAGGGAGTGGGTGACTGCACCGTGACCTCACAAGGTCCATTCCCCACATCGAAGGAAAAGGTCACTTCTGTGGGAGCTAGAAATATTAGATATGAATATTGCTCAAGCAAATTCACAGAAAATTGAGTCTTGTGCAGACACAGGAAAACATGAAGGCACGCTCAGGATGGAAGGAGATAATGACGGCGATGCAGAAAAACAAGACTGTGAGTTGGGGTGGGGGCAGAATAAATCTGTATCCTGGAGGAAAACAGAACGGATTTTAACATATTTATCCTCAGAGTTCACAATTCAACCTTGTTAAGTCCTAAATAGTAGAGATATGTACCCATAGCTGGACTACCCATAGCTATGTACCCATAGCTAGAATACCAAATAGTATTTGTTTTTGAGGTTTCAGTAATTTTATTTACAAACGGCTCAAAGTCTCATCTAATTCTATAAACACTGAATGTAAATTTTGACAGTCATAAATTAAGCTTTGGGTACATAAAAAACAATATGTCTGGTCAAATATTTTTGGAATTCAGTAAACAATGTGATGAGTTTGGTTTAAAGCTCTGGCTCTGCTGTTCAGTACTCTAGGAAAGGCATGACATTTTAATGGATTATTACGTGCTTCATTGTTTTATTTTCTCTTAAAAATGATTACTGGCTGGGTGTGGCAGTTCACACCTGTAATCCCAGCACTTTGGGAACCCGAGGCAGGCGGATCACTTGAGGCCAGGAGTTGAAGACCAGCCTGGTCAACATGGCAAAACCCCACCTCTACTAAAAATACAAAAATTAGCTGGGCATGGTGGTGCGTGCCTATAGTCCCAGCTACTCAGGAGACTGAGGCAGGAGAATTGCTTGAACCCAGGAGGCTGAGGTTGCAGTGAGCCGAGATAATGCCACTGCACTCCAGCATGAGTGACACAGCAAAATGCTCTCTCCCTCTCTCAAAAACAAAAAATTACCTAAAATCATAGAAGTTTAGTGTTTTATAATGAAATAGAATCACAAAGTAAGAATGAAATACTACCATTTTGTTGAGTTAAAGCTTTTATTGCTAAATAATGGGTATCCTGTGACTTGTCCAGAGTGGCCAGCTTACCCCGCAGCTCAATCCTGATGAAGTCTGTGATCCCCAGGTTCTCCATAAACACCCCGGAGGAAACTGTGGTCTTAAAAAAGAAGCACACGTCAGCAGTGAGTTCTCCGTGGAAAGCAGGGAAATGAAGGTATGAAGTCTCAGTGTTGAAGGAAGCTGAATTCCAGAATGACTCTGTTTACAATAGAGAAAACGACAAAAGGAAAAAAAGTCATGAAACAAAAATAACAGCTACATTTGATACTTACAGGATTATGACTGCTAAATACATTAATAGAATGTATATGAGCTTTCACTGGGGGTTCTGAGCATCCATGTCATATACTGATGACATCAAGAGCTAAATAGTGATTACGCTGAGGATTGGAATTCTGTGTTCAGAGAAGGCCAAACAAAAGCGAAGCAAAAGCAATGAGACCAGTCAGGGGATCGCGCAGCAACACAGTAGGGACAGGGTCAAGTTCAGAATCACCTCAAAGATACGACCAACAGAACTTACTGAAGAACTCGGTAAGATGTGAGAAGAAGGGTGGAGTCTGAGGTGACTTTGGGGTTTTTGGTCTAACTAGGAAGGGAAATAATTCTAAAGAAGCAGGTTCGAGCAGCAGCTCAGTTTGGGACATGCTTCATTTGAGATATCTATTAGGCATCCAAGTGGAGATTTGAAGGAGGTAGTTGGATAAATGACTCCAGAAGCCAGAACACAGACTCTTGCTTTCCTTCCTGCACACACACACACACACACACACACACACACACACACACACACACACACACTGTCTTAATTCCTTTCATGGCAAGAACAATCAAGAACAAGAAGAAGCTTATTTGTTCCCTTCTGTCCAAAACCCATCACAGGACTGCACATCACATGTATTACTCAGGCCTCTTTAGTGTCCTTTATTCTGGTACAGTGTGTGAGTCTTTTCTTATCTTCTGTGTACTTTTGACTTTTTGGTATTTTTCAGTTGACTTGCAGAATGTTCCTCAACTTGGATTTGTCTGACATACTCATGATTGGATTCATGTTGTGCATTTTTGTCAAAAATACCACAGAAGGGCTGCTGTGTTCTCCTCAGTGTGTCGCAGCAGCAGGCAGCAATGCTGATCAGCCCATCACTGGTCCTGTTAGTTTCAAGTGCCTTGTAAAGTGGCATTTGTCCAGTTTCTCCAACATGAAGTTATTATTTTTCTCTTTTTTCATGTATTTTTGACACTTTAAGGTTACAGAAACACAACTTTACCCAGTTTAAAATTTTTTCATCCAATGGTTTTACAATATATTGATGGCTCCTGATTGAATTTTTATTCTGATGGCTGCCAATGGTGATTTTCTAAGCTCTGTCATTCCTTCCACATTAATTGGTTGACATGCCTCCGTCAGAAATAGCTTTTCTCGGCTAGGTGCAGTGGCTCACGCCTGTAATCCCAGCAGTTTGGGAGGCCAAGGCGGACGGATCATGAGGTCAGGAGATCCAGACCATCCTGGCTAACACGGTGAAACCCCGTCTCTACTAAAAATACAAAAAATTAGCCAGGCATGGTGGTGGGTGCCTGTAGTCCCAGCTAGTCGGGAGGCTGAGGCAGGAGAATGACGTGAACCCGGGAGGCGGAGCTTGCAGTGAGCCGAGATCGTGCCACTGCACTCCAGCCTGCGCAACAGAGCGAGACTCCATCTCAAAAACAAACAAATAAACAAACCAAGAAATAGCTTTTCTCTTGATCTTTTACTAATTTATTTGTGTATTTATGCATTTGTTTATTCACGTCACTCTTGAATTTGTATTCTATTCAATGGTTTATACTCTATAACTTATTTTGATGCTTAAGTTGTCTCAAATGTGGCAGCTCCTTTAAGCTGACACCCATGCCTTTTTCAGCTTTTTTTTTCCCCTTTGTCATGACAAAATGATCCAGGCTCATCTTAAATTTTCTCTGCCACATTTCTGGAATCAGCCATTTCTTCAAGGAGTCGTGGTTTCTTTTTTAGCAGAGAATGACAGAAAATGGTGTTTAGAAGCCCAGATCTGCAGGCTATTTACTAGGGTGTCATTGCTTCTAGCCCTCTCAGTAGTCAGCTAGGAAATATGTGTATTTGTATCTCTCTCTCTCTCTCACACACACACATACACACACGCAGTCTCTCTCTTCTATGTGTATTCTACAGTTATCTATTATGTATATTAAAATCCATGAGTTCATGTGGATACCTCCGTTTTTAACCCAGCACCACAGGGTTCATTACAGTCTTCCTCCTTCCCACATGTATAACTCTTTCCTCAGTGAGGTCACTCCTACTCTCCTTACTGTATTTACAGATTTGCTCATTCCCCAGTGTGGAACCAAGCTTCTAACCCAGTGGTCATTCCTTGACCCTATCCCTGCAGATCCCCTAGTCCCAGCTGCCCCAAAAGAAGGGAAAAGAATCAATAAGTGTTATGTTAAAGAAAACAGAGATGAAGGAAAGGAAAAGAGAAACGAAGAGGAAGCTACAAGTTTTACAGAAGATAATATTTTATTTTTCTTTCTTTCTTCATTAATCAATTTATTTATTTATTTTAGAGATGAGGTCTCACTTTGTCACCCAGGCTGGAGTGCAGTGGCATGATCATAGTTCACTGCCACCTCACATTCCTGGGCTCAAGAGATCATCTCACCTAAGCCTTCCTAGTTGCTGGGACTACAGGCCACCATGCCCAGCTAATTTTTAGTTTTTTTGTAAGAGACAAGGTCTTACCATCTTGTCCGGGCTTGTGTTGAACTCCTAGGCTCAAGCCATCCTCCCATCTCAGTCTCCCAAAAAGAGAAGGGAATATTTCAAATATCACACTTTCTCTTCTCCATACTTTCAGAAGTCTTGCTGAAAGTAAGATATAAACTGAAGGTGAATGACATATCCTGAAGAGTCTCACAAATACAGCCACATTTGGAGAGAAATGAAGGGCTGAGGTAAATTTCCAGAGAGAAAATAATCTAGAAAATGTTTCTGAGAAGTACAGAGTACCTAGAAACCAGTGTTTGATGTCAGAGTATCAATAGGCAGGGGAAAAGGCTACAAATTTCCAGGGGTTATTACTGAACTGTGGGAGGCATCTGAAGCCTGCAGATATACCCTCCATGCTTCAGTGTGATGCCTGGCACAGGACATTTAATAATTCTTGAAGATAAAACAGCACAGAGAATGGCCAGTAAATCAGATACAATTCAACAGATCCCTCCCTTGAGCTCTTAGATTATGGGAAAAAATATTGATAGGATGACCAACTCTAGTCCTGCTATTGCAGTTCAGAAGGGACAAGAAGTATGTGTCTGATTGTGAAGAGATGAATGTCGAGAAGAATTCAACTCCATTCCATATAAATGAATTAAATGTCTGGACAGACCTGCCAGACAGACCTGTAGTGTAGACTTACACTACAAGTATAAACAATGTTTCAAAAAGCACAGAAACAGTGCAAACATACTGAGAAAGAAAAAAAGAAGACAGGAAAGAAAGAAAGAAAAAGAAAGAAAAGAAAGAGAGAGAAAGAAAGAAGAGAGGGAGGGAGGGAGTGGGGAAGGAAGGAAGGAAGGAAGGAAGGAAGGAAGGAAGGAGTATAAAAGCCAGACTGAATGGGAGGGAGGAAGGGAGGGAGAGAAAGAGGGAGGGAGGGAGGGAGGAAGGAAGGAAGGAGCCATCTGAATGGGATGGAGGAAGGAAATTAAGAGAGAACACAAGGAAAGAAAAATTTCATAAGAGTTTCACACTATGGGAATAATATAAAAACCAATTCAGTAAAATAAGAGCTAAAATATGAGATAAACAGAAAAGATGATTTTTAAGGAAAAAAAAATCAAAGACCCAAACAAAATCACAGAGGTAACAGAGAAATCGGAAATATCTGGAAATGGAGAACACAGCTGATAACAAATTACTGACATTGGGAAAAGCTTAGAATAATCATATTGAATGCATAGGAGAAGGACAAAGAGATTAAAGCCATTGGAAGAAACAGAAAAAATGTATGGGGGGCAAAGGAAACAAGTCAACAGTCCTAGATGCAGAGAATCCAACAAATGAAACAAAGTATTCAAAGCATAATAAAAACCATTTTTTCTTAAAAGAGAACAGAATATTTCGGTCAAAATAAGCATATTTCATTTTAGAAAAAATTAACAGAATAATTAACGCTAAGGCATATTCTGGATAAGTTTTTGAAATTGAAGGATAACATATCTGTCAAGAGCTGTGAAGAGTCTGAGATTTCACCCTACTTGCAAGCTAACAATTTAGCTTGCCACAGATTAATGGATGCTGATAGAAAACACAAAATTTCCGGGTCAGAGTTAAAGAACTTTATTGCTCACAGCACAGCATGCAGCATGAGTGTCAGAATATTTGCATTGGTTCCCCTTATCTCCAAATTTCACAGGGCAACACAATCCATTGGCCCAGGTGGATGCTACACACACAGTGGGTAGGTTTGCATCTCAGATGAGGAGCCCCCAGACAAGGGTCCGGGACTCCTTCATCAAGCAGGAGACAAGCCGGTCCCCGCCCTCTCTGGGGAGTGAGTACGCGTCGATAGTGATGTTGTGTTCTCTTTGAACTACTTAGCTGCCTACACGATTGGCTACAGAAACTGCTTGGTATTAGGGGATGGAGACACCACACCATCTGGCACACTCGGCAAGAATGTACAGAGAGGCTCAGGCTCCTTGTTGAACCATCCCTCTCAGAAGTAGCCTCCACACATTGAGGTAGAACAGGAAATAAAAATACATTTAGTCTCAGACTTCTCCACGGCAATGTATGATGCTAGTGGGTAAGAAACACTATTACAATTTTTCTCAGGGAAAGAAGATTTTTACTAGCTTAGTTGTGGTTCCCGTGCTACCCAGTAGGTAGATCCTCTAAGAACCCTGGGCTTATAGTGCCACTGAGGTGGGGGAGCGAGGACTTGACCATGAAAGCCACCCATGAACGAAAATGCTGCAGGAAAGAGATTAATACACATTCGGTGCCATGTAATGTAAAACAGTATGTACAGAGGTCAGAAAATAGAGAGTGTCCAATAATTTCCTACCACTATAGTTGTCTGAAGAGTATAAGGGCAATGAATAAATATCCCTTAGCATTCAGAAAATAGTTCATCTCATGATTGTTCTGGAAAAAATACAATCAATTGATAATAAATCCAGCCAAGCAAGTAATAAGTTAAAACAAAGATGATTCATTTTCTATAAACTAATGCTTCAGTAAGGAAACACAGATCTTCAGTACTGACTGTGCCTTTATGGTATGTGTGTTTTCCTGATATTCACCCCAGTCCTAGTACTGCCACTATTCTCTTTCTGGCAAGAACAAGGGCATTTGTCTACCCCTTTATAACCAAAAAAAGTTATTATGAAAATAAAGCTTTTTCTTGACACTACTTACTATCTCCGCGGCAGAGCAGTGGCCCCAGTGTATAATCTGCTTCGGAATGTGGTTGGCCTGCGTCTGTCATCACAATCTGAGTGACTGGGAGGTGCTCCTTTTGGGAAAGGACTATTGTGTCACTAGTCCTAAAGAACAACAACCGAAACCATTAAAATTATTCTGATTAACATACGGGCAAAATTAACTCTGATCTCTTATCTCAATTTGAAACCAACATCATAGAGCTTAACAGAATACTTAACATTTTCAATATTTTGAGAGCACAGAGACTACCATGAATCTAAATCAGGGATGGGCAAACATTTTGTGTAAAGGACCATACAGTAAGCTATGCAGGCCATGCAGCTTCTCACAGCAACTACTTAACTCTGCCACCAAGTGTGAAAGCAGCCACAGACACAGGCATGGCTGGGTTGCAATAAAAATTTATGGATATGAAATCTGAATTTCATACAAGTTTTATATGACATGAAATATTCTTTTTATTTTTCAACCTTTTAAAAATGTAAAGAAAACATTCTTAGCTCACTGCCATGCAAAAATAGACTAGTGGTCTGGATTTCACCCAAAGCAAGAGGTTATCAATTCCTGACCCGTTTGCCAATTCCTGATCTAAATGATTACAGAGAAGGGGAAAAATCAAGAAGGTAACTTCCCTTCTAAAATTGTCTTAGAATAATATCTAAGTGATTATTCATTACAAATAAAAATAGTAACACTGGATTTAGATATTCATTTTGCAGAATATTAATTTATCATTATTTTTTAAAGTCGTTTTATGATTACTGGGTATTTCTTTCCTTGTTAACTTTGTAAATGCAAAATGAGTCCCACAGATTCAAAACCAAATACATACTACACCCTTATAAGTAATACATAGACTAATGAGTGTGAAAGTGGTCTGTGAAACACTGCTCCCAGTAGTTCAGGCAACAAACACAGGCCGGGCACAGTGGCTCATGCCTGTAATCCCAACACTTTAGAAGACTGGGGTGGGCAGATTGCTTGAGCTCTGGAGTTCGAAACCAGCCTGGGCAACATAGTGAGGCCCCGTCTCTACAAAAAATACAAAAATTAGCTGGGTGTGATGGTGCACACCTGTAGCAGCTACATGGGAGGCTGAGGTGGGAGGATACCTTGAGCCTGGGAGGTAGAGGCTGTAGTGAGCCATGTGTGCACCACTGCACTCCAGCCTGGGTGGCAAAGTGAGACCCTGTCTCAAAAAATACAAAAAACAAACAAAAAACCCCAAACACTCAGCGCTCACCTTTTGTCGAACAGACATTGTCCTGGGAATTGAGGACACAGAGTAAAAAATATATTTTAGTCTCTGCCTTCTGAAAGCACACAGCCTGTTGAATACCATGAGTATTAATTATGTGACTGGGAAAATAAATGCACACGTCTGGGTCCAATACAAAGAGACCTGGAGGATCCCCTAGGGGAACCTGGGGTCCTGGTCTTAGCTATGCCACTAATTTTGTCTCTGGCCAAAATAAAGGCATTTGTCTACTCTGCTGCAAAAGTATTTTATTATATATGTGTATGTAACTGTATATGTAATAAATATTTGGCCAATAATATTGCATATATGCATATATAATAAAATGCTTATATTTATATACTTTTGGTTATATTTTATTACATATATGTCTCAACTGCATGTATATTCTGATTTACAGACAAAACACTCTTAGTCCAGTTACGGTTAGAAACTCCACAGTATCTAGTAAATACTGTATGTTTTAAATTGCCCAGTTCTCAAACCTTCTTTTGTATGCATTTGTGGCAAAAGATCACAATAATTGATATTTCATCATTGCAACACTTATGTATTTTCAGAATAAGGCTTTCTGAATTAAAAAAAATTAAACTGGCATGTCAGAGTTGTACATATACTGGGGGCACATGTGCTATTTTGATACTAGAATACAATGCATAATGATCAAATCAGGGTAATTGGGATATCCATCACTTTGAGCAGTTATCCTCTGTGGTGGGAACATTACAATTCTCTTCTGGCTATTTTGAAATATCCAATAAATTACTGTTAACTATAATTTCTCTAGTTCTATCAAATACTAGAATTTCTTTTACTTAACTCGACTTTTGTACCCATTAATCAACTTCTTTTATAAAAGACTTTAGGTATCAAACTTTCAAACTGGAAAATATAAAACTAAAATAAAATGGCTATATTATTTAAGATTATTCCCTGAAAAAATACACTTAATGGTAAAGAAAGCTTATTTCTAAAATTCAGACTAAAACCCTGTTGCTTTACCTAGTTAAGATTCTGTTATTCATTTTAATGCAAAGAACAGAATATGGATTATCTAAAGGCATCACCATTCAGCTTTAGAGTGGATTGATGGTAGACAAGCTAGAAATATGTCTCCTGCTGAATGAGGTAGGTCTAGGAAATTTTTTATTAATGTGGTAGCCATTAAAAATTACCATTTCCACTTCTGTGATCATCATTTTAGCAAGATAGTCTAGTAGAGAAAATGCAATTTAATTATTTATGGAGGATGCTTGTATTTTAAAAGATCTATTTCACGGGAGCTCCAAGTTTCATTCCATTTTCAATACTGACTGTGCAAAATATTGAGAATGTGTAAATGAAATCCACATTTCAGTTTAATTAGGGCAGATACTATAGTAAAGTCTTGTTTTTTCATTGTTTTGGAAAGTCTGGTGTTTTCATTCTGAGCATAAAGATAGCCAGTGTTTTTCACCAGTTTCTTATTGTTACAGGCAGATTCCCAACCTTTGGAAATCAAAATAGAATACTCAGGATTTGTAATAGTTATCAGACTTCCTCAAAACTTCCTAATTAATAGGGACATCTCATTTTTCTTTTCTCCCTATTATTTTCTAAAGCTTATACTATAGTCTACACTTGGAAATAGTGCTTTCATAGGTACCATAATCTCTTGGAGCAGTATTAAAAATTCAGTAAGAGAACTTTCAAAGACTTTTTGCTTTTATTTTATATTTTACTAAAATTTTTATTTATTAGAAATTCCTACGGTTCTGGAAATTGTACTTTCCTAGGAAGTGTGAAAACTTCTAAAAGCTACTACTTATTATTTGCCAGGGAACTTTATTTAAGGCAAAGTAGAGCCATAAGTTTGGGAGGTTGCAAAGAAAGCTAAAAGGGAGAAATGTTGAGTCAACTTTTTAACTTTTTTTTTTTTTTTTTTCGAGACAGAGTCTCACTCTTGTCGCCCAGGCTGGAGTGCAATGGTGTGATCTCTGCTCACCGCAACCTCCACCCTCAGGATTCAAGCGATTCTCCTGCCTCAGCCTCCAGAGTAGCTGGGATTACATGCGTGCGCCACTACGCTCAGCTAATTTTTGTATTTTTAGTATAGACGGGGTTTCACCATGTTGGTCAGGCTGGTCTCGAACTTCTGACTTCATGATCCGCCCGCCTTGGCCTCGCAAAGTGCTGGGATAACAAGTGTGAGCCACCGCGCCCAGCCCAACTGTTAATGATTATTTTGGGGGAGTAGGTCAGCAATAATAAAATCATTATGATCCACATCTAACCCACTTAAAAAATTTCTAGATTCTCAGTTTCTGTTTAATTGCCTATCTTCTGGCCAGTTCAACCTGCATTAATTACTACAGCAATACAGTATGTTTTGACAGCTAACAGAACTAGTTTCTTCACTTTATTTTTCATCTTAAAAATTATCTTGCTTATCCTTTCATCCTTAATTTCCATATGAATTTTAAAACCAGGTTGCTGCAATCCACACAAGTAAAAACACTTGGCATTTTTTGGAATTTTGTTAAAATTACAGACTAATTTGAGGAGAATGTCAACTTTAAAAGAGGGTATCTCAACAGCAGCGTTACTGATATTTTGGGCTAATTTTTTTTTGTCATGGGGGGGGCTGTCCTGTGCACTGTAGGATGCTCAGCAGCACCCTGATTTCTAATTAATAGACACTAATATAAACAACCTTCCTCTCTCTGTGATGATAAAAATGTCTTCAGACAATGCCAAATGTCCCAAGAGTCGAAATCACCCCCGATTGAGAACTACTGCTTTAAGATACTGAGTCATACTATCCACGACAGTAGTGAGTCAATCCATTTATTTGGCTGTCCTTAATTCTCTTGAATAAGTTTTGTAATTTTTTCCATAAAAGTACTGCAGTTATTCCACAGAACTTTACATTTTTGTTAATATTGCAAATAAAATTTTTCTAGGTGTGTAATGGTATTTTATGATTTTATAGAAATTCAAGTAATTCCTCAATACTGACTGACCATAAATTCAGCAAACTTACTGAACTCTCATTTTTCCTGATATTTCTTTATATTATTTTGGATTTTCTATGTAGGCAATCATATTATCTACAATATCTGCCAGGTTTGTTTCTTTTCCAAACTTTTTATCACTTACATCTATTTTATTTCCTCTTGTGTCTTTAACTGACACATGCATGAGCTTTTAAAAATTATATATTCATTATTGATTACAGTTAAGAATATAGTTTCCATCATGACAATTCCGTAAAATTTGTTAAGATTCCATCCATTTACAAAATTTTTTATACTTATTCAACAATAATGTATAATACATTCTATAAAGAAATAATTTTTCCTTACTAAACGATATATGGCTGCTATATCAAGTTTGTTAATTATAATATTAAAATATTCTTACCTGCTTCACTTACTCATTCCCAAAAATGTTATGTTAATTATTCCACTGTTTTGGGTGTCAATTTGCCTTTGCATATTTGTTACATATATATATATACACACACATATATATATACACACACACACATATATATACACACACATATATATACACACACACATATATATATATACACACACACACATACTTTTTTTTTTTTTTTTTTTTTTGAGACAGAGTCTTGGTCTGTCGCCCAGGCTGGAGTGCAGTGGTGTGATCTTGGCTCACTGTAAGCTCTGCCTTCCAGGTTCATGCCATTCTCCTGCCTCAGCCTCCCGAGTAGCTGGGACTACAGGCGCCCACCACCAGGCCTGGCTAATATTTTTTGTATTTTTAGTAGAGACGGGGTTGCACCTGTGTTAGCCAGGATGGTCTCGATCTTCTGACCTTGTGATCTGCCCGCCTCGGCCTCCCAAAGTGCTGGGATTACAGGCGTGAGCCACGGCGCCCTGCCACTTCTTTATATATTTTAAACAATCTGATGATACACACAAGTGTAGTGAGATCTTTCTAGTGAGTTTATCTCAGCATTAGATAGAGTTCAAGTTTATCCCTAACAATGCTTTTCATCTTTGTCTGACATAATACAGCTATATCTGCTTTCTTTTGATTTGTATTTACGTGGTAAATATTTTCTATTCTTTTAGTTTCAACTTCACCGAGTGCTTATATTTTATCTTTTGTAAACAAGCTATAGCTTCTTTAAAAATCCAATATGATAAAATCTAATATCTGGTTTTTAAATGAACAGAGTTTACTCGTATTTATTATGATTATTTGTACACTTGTATGCATTTAAACCATCTTATTTTATGCTTTTTATTTGTGGTTACTTTTAAAGACTCTAAGGTAATCACACAAAAGTCCTATTTAAATTCTTAAGTAAAATAATATTACAGTTACATGTGTCATCATTATATTAGCAAAACAACTTGTGGATTTTTGCAGACAGCTGAATTATATGTTATATGTATATTTTAGAGAATATATTGGTCTATTTGAACATAGTCCACTATACATTTATACACATATATTGACTTGCAGCATAGTTCAATATTTTAAATCATTATAGTGCCTTTTAAATATATTTGTTTTTATAATAAATCTTTGGCATGTTATAGTTATTTGATAGAATATTCTTACTGTGCCTGAGGAACTGTCTGATCATAAACTTTTTTTTAAGTAATATGCTTAGACGAGTTGCTGATTACAGGGACAACTTATGGAAAAATGGCGATGGTTTATATTAACAATACTGCCTGCCCCATTAACGGACATATGCCTGAAGAGACTTAAAATAGCTTTCACTTTACTTTCATTCCCAAATACTATTTTTATTATAAACTTTCCACCAGGAAAACCTTACTAGGCACACCTCAGTAATAGAAAATAAGTAATAAAGACTAAGATTTATGTTCTTATGTCTATACCTTAATCTAAATTATTACAATTATAAATCTTTTCATTTCATGAGACTGGTAAATTCCATTTTTATAAACTGAAAAATCAATTTTATTTGAAAAATTAAAATAGAAATTGTAATTTCCCACCCCCCCACCCCCATACACACCCCCACATTTACAAAACAATCTACAAGAGTTGGGATAGGATTTCAGAATGCTTGTGGTCTTACTGTTGGATAGACCTATCTACTGGAAGCTGCAAAGTAAATAAAATAAGGTTAAAAAGCAAATGACTCCACAATGCTCCCTTCTGAATGTAGGAGGGGAGTTAATTTTTAAAACCTGCTTCTCTCCTAAATTTTTTTCCAAATGAAAGCCCATGGCTTCTGTCACACCAGTGCAGTCCTTGACGGTGCTGAAGTGACATGGCTAAGGGTATCAGAGGACCTGCACCCACCTCAGTTCCTTCCATTCCCCTCCTCAAACTCAGTTCATGGGAGGGTCACTCAATACAGGTGGCTCCAAGTGATACGTTCCTCTGGTTACTGCCCTAAGCATACGTGAAGTCTACAATAAAGTATGCACTTAATACTAACAGAAGGTTCTGTAACAAAAAAACAGTTGACCAGCCTGGCCAATAGTGAAACCCAGTCTCTACTAAAAATACAAAAATTAGCCAGGTGTGGCACTCGGCTGTAATCTCAGTTACTCGGGAGGCTGAGGCAGGAGAATCACTTGAATCCGGGAGGCGCAGGTTGCAGTGAGCTGAGATCGCACCACTGCATTCCAGCCTGGGCGACAGAGAGAGACTCTGTCTCAAAACAAAAACAAAACAAAACGGTTAACATTCTTCGAACTAAGTTATAAAGCCACTAGCATATATGCCATTCTGGCTTTCTTGTAATAACCTGCCAATGCTCTCCTTTCTGACCTGTAGAGAATGGGGGTGGGGACAGACCAATGAGCTGGAGGTCTTCTGAACAGCCAGGAGCTGGAGGGCTGGAGCCCTCACAGGCAGGAGCCCCTTGTGGAATGGAGGAAATGAAAACCTCCAGGATTGTTAAAGATGTCCGTCAAAAGATTTGAAGGTCGCTGTTTGTCTCATTAGAGCCCAAAGCTAACACACATCATCACATTATCATACCAGACACTTTAAAATGTACATCATACAAAATATGGTACAAAACCATTTTAACTGACGGCAAATTACTTCAGACCTGAAACTTACTGGTGGCCAGATTTGAAACTATGGATCAGATCTGTTCCTGTTACTCACTGCACTAAAACTGCATTCATTTTTAAGTAAGAGAAAGTTGTATTAAGATTGCATATCAAAATATTCAAAAAGAGTGTCTCATAAATCTGTATGATCATTTTGTAATTTTGAACTTGAGGAAGATTAAAAATAATATCCATGTAAATGTATAGTATGTATTCTATAGAAACCTCCAGTAGATTCAAGTGAGTTTTCCCAACTTCACAATATTTTTTAAAGTGATGCAAAGTAGACTTTTTATGCCAAATAAATAAGTGGACTACCATGCAGGCCAAACAACTCAATTTTTAGGAATCAAATTACTGCTTAGGTTAGCTATTTTATGTCCAAATCAATTATACTGACACCTGGATTGACCATTACGTTTTTTATTTATTAATTATTATTATTATTATTTTGAGGTGGAGTCTTGCTCTGTCGCCCAGGCTGGAGTGCAGTGGCGCGATCTCGGCTCACTGCAACCTCTACCTCCTGGGTTAAGCAATTCTACTGTCTCACCCTCCTGAGCAGCTGGGACTACAGGCACACACAGCCACACCCGGCTAATTTTTGTATTTTCAGTGGAGACGGGGTTTCGCCACATTGGCCAGGCTGGTCTCAACCTTCTGACCTCAGGTGATCCACCTGCCTTGGCCTCCCAAAGTGCTGTGATTACAGGCATGAGCCACAGTGCCTGGCCTAAGTTTTTTTTTAAAGCACGTACTCTACACGATCTAGTTGTTTTATGACAATGCTTTTTAAGTTGCTGACATGAACCCAAAGGTTGAAAACATTTACATATTACAAATAAAAAAAAAGAAAACCAATATGCATTTCAAGAATAACCTCAAAAAGAACTTCTGAAAAAGAGGCATTGCAATCTACATGAGAAAATTGTTTCTGCTCAAAAGAAAGCTTACAAAATAATTTTCAAATTCTGGAAATTCTATGTTAGTTGTTTCAAAGTATGGTCTACAGAACAGTTGGTGCTTGAAGCTTTGCTATTGCACTGAAGATTTCAATGAGTGTGGGAAATTGTTGCTTCTACAAAATAAACACAGTCCTTTTATGCAGGACCTCTCAGAGTTTCTTGTGTTAATGTTAATTTCTAAAAGAAAGACAGAATATGCAGCATTATATCCCAAATCAATTTAAGACAAAGATTTGGAGGAATTTGCTTTTTGAATTGCCACATGAATACTACGTTAATTAATTAACTAAACTTCGCAGAGAATGATATTTGATTTCCAGTGAGTGGAAAACTTAACAGCTGCTTCTCTTTTATGAAAAATAAAAAACACATTATATAGTATTCACAATGAATTAGTAAATCTTTGGTCATAAAATTTAATCCTTAGATTAACTGATCATATTTCATCAAAACTTGTATTTCAGCTTGCTTGAACATACTTTAATCTAGTTACCTTATTGTACCAGCTTGTCTGACATTTAATTAACTATGCATAATTAAAGAATAAAAACCACATTTTTGTGCAGGGAAATCATGTGGAAATCACCATTCATTCCGGCCAGCATCACAGTTGCAGTAATACTGAGAATCAATGCAGTTCCCCTCTAATCCACAAGTACACTTTTGAGCATCAGGCAGAGAACCTCCCCAGGAAGTGTGTGTTTCATTGGTTCTTCCAACCCACCAGCTCAGTGGGGTTCCATCTGAAAGACAAGTATAAGAAAGATGACATCTACTTTGTCCCTCACTATCACCCTCCCCATATAGCTCCCTTTACTCCCAGGTGTAAAGTGTATGTGTGAGAGGCAGAGAGAGAGAAAATGAAACTATACTTAAACACTTGTATTTTACCTCTGAAATGTTTCTTTAAGCCTAACCAATGTTTTTCCCCCAATATTTCAATATCTAGGCTTAAATGATTCCATCTATTTTTCTTCTATTAGAAATCAGTCAGTTGCATGTGATACATACTTTCTATAGAAATAACATTCAAAAAAATTCACCATTAAAATAAATACCAGAGTAATTTGCACACTAAAGATAAAATCTATTTGAAATTATGAAATGTTCATTGAGAAAGTTTAATATTATACAAAGACATTGATTTATCTCATCCCATCTTTTTGCTAACTACCTGTATATTACACATTTGGAAAGATACACGTACTCTCTGTCAGTACTTACTAATTTTTGGAGGTATTTGTTTTTATTGCATTGGATGTCCTGACTCTTTATTTGGAGGTTAAGGAATGACATTGATAGGCTTTTCTCATCTCTGAGGTTAGAGATTTCTCATGCAAAGAAACAAAGTGCCCTGGGTCAACTACAGCTCTGAGGAGTGCGCCTCCTTCTCAGCACTGACAATGATTAAATGATAGAGTCAGACACTAACTCAGATCTATAGAACTGCATATTAGGACAAGGGATGCTGCCAGGGGTTGGGAGTGAAGATTGGGGTGATGGACTGACAGCACATCACAGTAAAGTTAGGATAATTTAAAAAGCAGGTGTCAGGCCACCTATCTTAAAAAAGGAAAGGGGTCAGAGGCCACAAGTTGCAGTCATCACAGATTAGGCCATGAGGAAAATGAAATTGGATTAACTCAACCAGTTTTTTAAACATGCTTGATCATGTGGTGCTGTTTTTCAAATTTCAATAGCTTGTTACCATTGGAATATGAATCGAGATCTGGAACTTAGCTTCTACCTTACTGCTTATTACAACTCAATTATAACTCATTCATAGATAAGATCTCTGCATTCATTACCACCACCACTATCCATCACCTGCCCCTCTGCCAAAAAACAAAAAAAACAACAACAAAAAAGGCAATCTGGGAAAATTTAAAGAGGGATTAGTACCAGGAATCTTTTAAAAATGTGCTAAAAGCTTGTTACTACAACGTAAAAGATATTTTTAAAAATTAATACACTCTTCTCGGAATGCCACTTTAAAAGTTACCGACTTCACCATTAAACTGTCGCAGATTAAAGAGCAAAACACTCATTATATCCTAATGTACAAGTATAAATTTACATCTAAATCTCCCATATTCCCCATAAAGTAGTAAAAATGTATTTTTTTAGAAACAGTAACAAAAAGATGTAAGTGGGTGAACTTCTAGACTGATAAAAGATCTTGTAGACTTGTCTATCCCTGCTATTTCCACCAAGTATAATGATAGATTCTGGAAATAATACAGAAGACAACCGAAGAGAATTCTGAAAGGTAGAAAGAGGAAGCTTAGGACCCCAGGACTGGAAGATACAATAACATAACGTTTTAAAAAACTCTGAATGGGCTCAAGAATAGAGTGAAAAAACACAGGACAGAATCACTGAACTTGAGGGCCCATCAATAGGCTTTATCTAACCTGACCAAAAAAGAGAGAACAGACTGAATATAAAAAGAACTGAGCCATAGGGTCCTATCAGACAATATCATCCGAATCTCAAAAAGAGAGAACAAAGTGTGCTGAAAGAGTACTGAAAAAATACTGGCTGTAAACTTCCCACATGTGGTGAAAGATACAAACCCACAGATTTAGGAAGTTAAGTTTAAGTCCAAAAAAGGATAAACCCAAAAATATCGACACCAAGATCCATCATAATTGAACTTTTTGGAAACAAAACAAAACAAATCTTGAAAGCAGCCTGAGAGAATAACACATTACCTGCCTGTAAAAGAACCCTAATTTGAATGATAGTAGATTACTCATCTGAAATTACAGAACCAGAAGGAATGGCATATTTTTTTTCAGGGCTGATAGAAAAAAAATTGTCAACTATAAATTATATACCCAGAGAAACTATCCTTCAAGAATAAAATGGAAATAAAATCTTTTTAGGCCGGGTGCGGTGGCTCACGCCTGTAATCCCAGGACTTTCGGAGGCCGAGGTGGGCGGATCACGAGGTCAGATCGAGACCATCCTGGCTAACACGGTGAAACCCCGTCTCTACTAAAAATACAAAAAATAGACGAGCGTAGCGGCGGGAGCCTGTAGTCCCAGCTACTCAGGAGGCTGAGGCAGGAGAATGGCGTGAACCCGGGAGGCGGAGCCTGCAGTGAGCCGAGATTGTGCCACTGCACTCCAACCTGGGCGACAGAGTGAGACTCCATCTCCAAAACAATAACAACAACAAAAAACCTTTTTAACACAAAAGAAAACTAAAATAATTTGTCGCTAGCAGACATTCCCTAAAGAATGGCTAAAGGAGGTTTTTCAAAAAGAAAGGAAATTATAACAAAGGATTCTTGGAACATCAGGAAAAAAATGAAAAGAGAAGAAATATGGATAAATATAATAGACTATCCTTATCAATTTTTGAAATGACATATGATAATTGACACAAAAACTGTAATACCATATGATACTCAAGACAATGATATTTAGAAGTGGGGAAGATAAAGGACCCAAATAGACATAAGGATTCCATATTTCATTATGAGAGTGAAGATATTTAAGTTGACTGTGGTAAGTCACATATGTACACTATAATACCAAGCAACGAGTAAGAAAATTATAAAAATTACCTTAAATGTAAATGGTTAAAATATAACAAAAGTTAGATGTTGGCAGAATCAACTGAAAAAAAAATAACACAACGAGAAATTTATAAGAAACTCACTTCAAAATAAACATAGGCAGGTTAAAAGTAAAAGGATGGAAAAAATACACTCTGCAAAAATTAAATTTGAAAGAAAGCAGAATGGCTATCTCATAAAATAGACTTCAGAACAAAAATACTAGAACAGGGACATTACATAATGATTTTTAAAAAAATCACCAGGAAGACATAAATGCATATGCAAGAAACAATACACCCTTAAAAAAATGAGGCAAAAATTGAGACTTCTGGTTTCCAATCTGATATGACGTTAAGAGTCTGGAAGTCATCGCTCCCATTCTCACAACAAGAAAAAAGCTGCACTAACTAAAAATAAACAGTTCTTCTTACACAGTTAAAGTCATAGGGCAAACATTACTCCTAAAGCTGCAGAGACAACTGAAAACAGCATCACGGCTAATGGAGCCAAAGCAGATGGTGGAGTCTGGTAAAAGCACTTAAAATGTAACTGACTAATTGATGGATACTGAGCAAGGACAAGCTACAGAGATTGAAAACTCCTAGAGTGGGGGATACGCCTTAGAGGGTCAACACACCTTCAAGAGTTTTATCTCCAGGAAGAGCCCCATCAAGTTCTCAGAATAAAGATAGGAAAAAAATGCTCTTATGTCTCCAGCAGGGGGAGGGAAGGAGTAAACATTTTTGAAATAAGCGCAGAACATTATGTTCTCCTTAACAACATTCTAATCCCCCGAAAAGCTAGTTTACTAGAGCCTAAACCACCTAGGGGAATGGAAATATCCAGAACCAGCCCCCTCTACCCTTCTTTTCTTACCCAAGGGAAGGGGAAGGAAGCTGAGAAGCACTCTGAAGGTCACAGTCCAGGAAGACAGGTTCTCTAAAAGACTGACCTAATCCTAAGAGTACAGGATGCTTCTGGCCGGGCGCGGTGGCTCACGCCTGTAATCTCAGCACTTTGGGAGGCCGAGGCGGGCAGATCATGAGGTCAGGAGATCAAGACCATCCTGGCTAACATGGTGAAACCCCATCTCTACTAAAAATACAAAAAATTGGGCCGGGTGAGGTGGCTCAAGCCTGTAATCCCAGCATTTTGGGAGGCTGAGGCGGGCGGATCACGAGGTCAGGAGATCCAGACCATCCTGGCTAACATGGTGAAACCCCGTATCTACTAAAAATAGAAAAAAATTAGCCGGGCGTGGTGGCGGGCGCCTGTAGTCCCAGCTACTCAGGAGGCTGAGGCGGGAGGATGGCGTGAACCCGGGAGACGGAGCTTGCAGTGAGCTGAGATGGCGCCACTGCACTCCAGCCTGGGCTACAGAGCGAGACTCTCTCAAAAAAATTAAAATAAAATAAAAACATTAAAAAAAAAAGAGTATAGGATGCTTCTCCTCTCCCCGCACCTTATCATCAATCAGATCAGTACATTACCTGTATAGTAACAGGAGATTAAAAATGAAAGAGCTGTGAATTTTAGACCCTATTTAAGACAGAGTCTCTGGGAAAACTCAAAACGGAAGAAAGAAAAATAAAATAACCTTAGAGGAAATTTTGGCCTCTGACACCACAGTTATGCAAAGAGCAAATTCAGCCTAACTACTAACTAGATAAACATAAAACCTTACATTAAAGGCTTCCTTACCTCAGTTCCTTTGCCAATACAACATGTCTGGCTTTCAACAGAAAATTGCAAGGTATGCTAAAGCCAAACAATACAGTCTTATGAGACGAATCAAGCAAACATGCAGATGTGACAGATTTGGAAATATCAGATAAGGAATTTGAAATAATAATCAATATGCTAAAGGCTCTATGTTGAAAAAGTGGGCAACATGCAAGGAGAGATAGGTACTATAAACAAAGATATGAAATCTCAAAATCAGAAGGAAATACAGAGATTAAAAGTAAAAATTGTAGAATGTCTTTGATGGCCTCATCAAAGTCTGGGAAGACTGGGAAGTGCTGAGGAAAGAATCAGTGAGTTTGAAGATATGTCAATGAAAATTTTCCATTAAAAACAAAGAGAAAAAGAATGAAAAATGAAACATAATATCCAAACTGTTGGACAATAATTTTTTTTTTTTTTTTTTTGAGATGGAGTCTCTCTCTGTCGCCCAGGCTGGAGTGCAGTGGTGCAATCTCGGCTCACTGCAAGCTCCGCCTCCTGGGTTCACGCCATTCTCCTGCCTCAGCCTCCCGAGTAGCTGGGACTACAGGCGCCTGCCACCACGCCCAGCTAATTTTTTGTATTTTTAGTAGAGGCGTGGTTTCCCCGTGGTAGCCAGGATGGTCTGGATCTCCTGAACTTGTGATCCGCCCGCCTCGGCCTCCCAAAGTGCTGGGATTACAGGCAAGTGAGTCACCGCGCCCGGCCCTGTTGGATAATTTCAAACGGTGTAACCTATGTAACCCATAATCGGAATACCAGAAGTAGAAGGAAGAGAGTGAGAACCAGAAGAAATATTTAAAATAATGACAGTTGAGAATGTTTCAAAATTAATGACAGACATGAAACCATAGGTTCAGGAATCTCAGCAAACACCAAGCAGGTTAAATACAAAAAAATCCACACCTAGGCATCTCATGTTCAAATTGCAAAAAATTGAAGACTTTCTTAAAATTAAAATAAAATCTTTTAAAAATAAAATCCCGAAATAAACCACAGTAAAATAAAACACCTTACCTACATAGGAGCAAGAATGAGAATTATGCCAGATTTCCCTTAAGAAACCATGCAAGCAAGAAGAAAGTGAAGTGAAATATTTAAACTGTTGAGAGAAAACACACACTAATATAAAATTCTATATCCAGTAAAATTATCCTAAATAGTAAAGTAGAAATAAAGACTTAGATAAACAGAATTGAGGAAATCTTTCTCCAGTAGACCTACCTTGCAAGCCATGTTAATAGAAGTTCCTCAGAGAAAAGAAAAACAATATAGGTCAAAAACACAGAAATACATAAAGAAAGGTAGGAGCATTAGAGAAGAAAAAAATTAAAATAAAATCTAGTGTCTTCTTCTTAATTGATGTAATAGGTAACAGCTCTAAATAATACTAACAATGTATTGGGTGATTATGGCTTATGAATAAGTAAAATGAATGATAATAATGTAATACAAAATAAGACAGAAGGATTGGAAATGCTGTGTTATAAAGTACCAGCACCATTAATGAAGTGGAATAGTGTTATTTGAAAGTAGATTGTTATAGTGTACATTTCATACTCAAAGGCTACCACTAAAACAATTACCAAGAAATGTAATTAATATTCTAGGAGAAGTGAGGATATGGAATCATATAAAATGCTCAATTAAAACAAAAAATGTGAGAGGGGAATTCAGGAAAAAAAGAAGAAACAAGGGCAACAAATAAAAAAGAGTTACAATATGGCAAATATTAATCCAAGTATCAATAATCACTTTAAATGTAAACAGTCTAAATATACCAATTAAGAAAGCAATGGCAACAAAAGCCAAAATTGACAAATGGGATCTAATTAAACTAAAGAGCTTCTGCACAGCAAAAGAAACTAAAATCAGAGTGAACAGGCAACCTATAGAATGGGAGAAAATTTTTGCAATCTACCCATCTAACAAAGGGCTAATATCCAGAATCTACACAGAACTTAAACAAATTTACAAGAAAAAATCAACCTCATCAAAAAGTGGGCGAAGTATATGAACAGACACTTCTCAAAAGAAGACATTTATGCAGCCAACAGACACATGAAAAAATGCTCATCATCACTGGCCATCAGAGAAATGCAAATCAAAACCACAATGAGATACCATCTCACACCAGTTAGAATGACGATCATTAAAAAGTCAGGAAACAACAGGTGCAGGAGAGGATGTGGAGAAATAGGAACACTTTTAGACTGTTGGTGGGACTGTAAACTAGTTCAACCATTGTGGAAGACAGTGTTGCGATTCCTCATGGATCTAGAACTAGAAATACCATTTGACCCAGCCATCCCATTACTGGGTATATACCCAAAGGATTATAAATCATGCTGCTATAAAGACACATGCACACATATGTTTACTGAGGCAGTATTCACAATAGCAAAGACTTGGAACCAACCCAAATGTCCATCAATGACAGACTGGATTAAGAAAATGTGGTACATATATACCATGGAATACTATGCAGCCATGAAAAAGGATGAGTTCATGTCCTTTGTAGGGCCATGGATGAAGCTGGAAACCATCATTCTCAGCAAACTATCGCAAGGACAAAAAACCAAACACTGCATGTTCGCACTCATAGGTGGGAATTGAACAATGAGAACACTTGGACACAGGAAGGGGAACATCACACACCGGGGCCTGTCATGGGGTGTGGGGAGAGGGGAGGAATAGCATTAGGAGATATAGCTAATGTAAATGATGAGTTAATGGGTGCAGCACACAATTAACATATGGATACATATGTAACAAACCTGCATGTTGTGCACATGTACCCTAGAAATTAAGGTATGATAATAATAAAATAAAAGACTGAGACTGTCAGAGTGAACAACAACAACAAAACCCATGATCCACCTACATGTTGTCTACTGAAATCCTCTTTAAATATAAAATAGCAGGTAGATTTGAAGCGCTAGAGAAAGATATACCATGGTAACACTAACCAAAAAGAAAGACAGAGTATCTAAATTAATTTTAGACAAAGCCAACTGCAGAGCAAGGTAAATTATCCGAGATGAAAAAGGGCATTACACAATAATAAAGGGGTCAATATAACAAGAAGATATAATAATGCTTAATATGTATATACCTAGCAACAGAAGAGTCAAAATATATTAGGGGGAAACTGATAGAACTGCAAGGACAGAGAGACACATCCATTATTACCACTGGAGACTTCAACACCCCTCTATGAGTAAGTGACAGACTCAGCAGGAAGAAAATCATTAAGGATAGATTTGAACTGAACAGCACCATCAATCAACTGGATCTAACTGAATACTTTAGAATTCAATTAGCGTTATAGAATATTTTATCTAGACACTGCAGAATACACATTCTTCTCAAATACAAATGCACAATTCATTAAGTTAAACCACATTCTAGGCCACAGAACACTTTACCAAATTTAAAAGAATAGAAATCACAAAAGGCATGTTCTTGAATCAGAATGGAATTAAACTAATAATAGCAGAAAGAGAGCTGAAATATCCTCAAATACCAAAAAATTTAAAAACACATTTCTAAATAATAAAACATGGTGAAAGAGAAAGTCTCGAGAGAAACAAAATTTTTTAACTAAGGCAGTAATTAATAACCTTCCCAAACAGAAAGTACCAAGCCCAGATGATTCACTGGTGAGTTCTATCAACATTGGAGAAATAAATGATACCAATTTTCCACAATCTGTTGCAGAAAATAGAAGCAGAGTGACTATTTCTTAACTCATTCCATGGGCCAGCATTACCCTAATACCCAAACCAGCAAAACCTTACAAAAAAGTAAACTGCAAACAAATATCTCCCTTGAACATGGATGAAGCAATCCTTAAAAAATATTAGCAAATTGAACCAAACAATTTTTAAAAATAAACACCACAACCAAGTGGGATTTACTCTAGATATGCCTTTAACATTTGAAAATTAATTAATATAGTCCATCAGATCAACAAGCTAAAGAATAAAAATCATATGCTTCCAGTACTTTCTGCTCAATTTCTATGTAAACTTAAAATTGCTAAAAAATATAAAGCCTATTAATATAAGAAAACTGATGGAGCAGAATGGAAAAATAAACAGATCCACAATTATAGTACAGATTTCAAAATGTCTCTCTTAGCAACTGACAGAACTACTGGACAAGAAGTCAGCAAGGATATACAAGATCTGAACAACATAATCAACCAACAGGATCTCATTGAAATACATACAGAATACTCCACTTAAGAATAGCAGAATATACATTTTTTTTTCAAATGCCCATGAAAAATTTACAAGACAGACCATATCCCTGGGAGCCAAACAAACCTCAACGTATTTAAAAGAACTAAAATCACACAAAGTATATTCTCTGAGCATAATGGAATCAAACTGGAAATCAATACCAGAAAGAGAAAAAGAAAATCTCTAAACACTTAGAAATTTTTAAAAATACACTTCTAAATAAGCTACAGGTCAAAGAATATGCTTCAAAGAAATTTATTAAAATACTTAAATGAAAATGAAACTACATGAAAAACTAAATGAAAATGAGAATACAACATATCAAAATATGTGAAATGTAGGTAAAACTGTGTTGATAGGGAAAATGTAGCATTAAATGCCTACATTAGGAAAGAAGAAAGCCCTAAAGCCAATAATGTAAGTTCTTACCTCTAGAAACTAGAAAACAAAATTAACTCATACAAGCTGAAGGAAGGAGATAACAAAGAGAAGAGCAGATTTCAATAGAATTTGAAACAAAAATAATAGAGAAAATCATGAAATGAAAATCTAGTTCTAAAAAACAGTAAGATTGAAAAACTTCTATAAAGACTGACAGAGACAAAAAAAGATGAGACAAACTATAAATATGAGAAATTTAAGTGGATATCACTACAGATGCTGGAGACATCAAACGAATAATAAGAAAATACTATAAATAATTCTACACAAATCAACTTGACAATTCAGATTAATGGACAAATTTCTCAAAAAGTACAAACTACCACAATTCACCTAACATGAAATAGGTAATTTAAGTAATTGTAATTATTAAGAAAATTGAATTCATAATTTAAAATTACTGAAAAAAAAATCTCTTGGCCCAGATGGTTTTACTGGAGAATTCTTTTTGTTTTGTTTTGTTTTTGGTTTTTATTTTTGAGATGAAATCTCGTTCTGTTGCCCAGGCTGGAGTGCAGTGGTGTGATCTTGGCTCACTGCAACCTCTGCCTCCCAAGTTCAAGCGATTCTCCTGCCTCAGCCTCCTGAGTAGCTGGGATTATAGGTGTGTGCCACCACACCCAACTAATTTTTGTATTTTTAGTGGAGACGGGGTTTCACCATGTTGGCCAGGCAGGTCTCGAACTCCTGACCTCAAGTGATCCATCTGCCTCAGCCTCCCAAAGTGCTGGGATCACAGGCATGAGCCACCCTGCCGGGCCTTACTGGAGAATTCTACCAAATGTTTAAATAAAAATTAAAGTCAATTTTACATAATCTCTTCCAGAAAACAGGAGACTAGAGAATGCTACCAAATTCATTTTATGTAGGCAGTATTGTCCTGATACTGAAACCAGATAAAGACAATATGAAAAAAGAAAACTACATATCAATATCTCTTATGAATTTGAATGCAAAAATATTCAATAAAATATTAATAAATCAAACACATTAGAAATGTATTTTTTAAATTATACATTATGGCGAAATGGGAGTTGCTCTAGTTATGCAAAGCTGATTCAACATATCAACAGACAAAAGAAGAAATATAATATTTTAATACCAATTGACACAGAAAAGACATTTGACAAAAATCCAATGTCCTTTCAAAATAAAAACTGTCAGCCAACCAGGAATAAAAGGGAACTACCTCCACATAACATAGGAAACAAGAATGAATGCTTTTCCCCTAAGACAGGAAACAAGGCAAGGATGTCTGTCCTCACCACTCTAGTTCAACCTAGTATTGAAAGTCTAGCTACTGCAATAAAGCAAGAAAAATAAATTAACTCCCTACAGATTGACGAGGAAGAAATAAAGCTGACTCTACTTGCAGATGACATGATTTTCCATATAGAAAATCCCAAGGAATCTAAAAAAAAATTAAGTTCAAAAAAGAGCTTATAAGATTAGTATGAAACAATCATATTTCATATTCTAACAAGAAACATATGTAAACAAAAATTTAAAGCACAACAGCACTTACAATCAATCAAGAAACTAACTAAATGCCTAAGCATACTTATAAAACATATAATCTCTGGATGCTAAGAATTACAAAATGCTGAGGCAAGAAATCAAAGATCCAAATAAATGGAAAGATATCTCATGTTCATGGATTGGAAGACTCAAAACAGTAAAACACCAATTTTCCCTTCATTGAGCTATTATGTTTAATGTCATTCCCATAAAAATTCTAGCAAGATGTTTGTAGACATAAACAAATTTATTACAAAATTTATACAGAATGAGGCAAGCTACAGACTTAAACAATCTTGAAAAAGAAGAATAAAGCAGGAGGAATAACTCAACCCTGCTATACAGCTACCACGTTCAAGACAGTGTGATATTGGTGGAGGCATATAAATTAATGAAACAGATAAAGAATGCAGAAACAGACCCACCACACAAGTAAGTTCAACCAATTTTTAACACTATTTAAAATGCAATTCAATGCAGGAAGGATAGCCTTTTCAACAAATGGTTCTGGAGCAACTGAACATTCATAGTCAGAGAGAGTGAGAGAGAATCAACTCTCACATCTTATATAAAATGTGTCCCAAAATAGGGCATGGAATTAAAAGTAAAAGGTAAAACTATACAACTTTTAGGAAAAAAATTCAAAAATCTTTGGAATTGGAATTTAGGGTTAGGTAAAGAATTTTTAGAATTGACACGATGTGTACAACCCATAAAAGGAAAATATGATAAACTGAATCTCATCAAAATTAAAACTTTTGCTCTAAAAAATTCCAGTTAAGAGTCAATGAATAGGCAAGCAACAGAGTGGGAAAAAATATTCGCAAATCACATATCCAACAAAAGGCTAGTATCTAGAATATATAAAGAACTGAAAATTCAACAGTAACAAAACAAATCCAAACAATCCAATTAGAAAATGAACAACAACAAAAACACATTCACAGACATCTATCTCACTGAAAACGATATACAGATGGCAAATAAGCATATAAAACATGCTCAATATTATTAGACATCAGGGAGACACAAATTAAAACCACAATAAAGATATTACTACACAGTTATCAGAATAGCTAAAATAAAAAATAGTCACAACACCAAATGCTGATGAGCATGTGGAGGAAATGAAATCATACACTGTTGGTGGGAATGGTACAACCATTCTAGAAAACAATTTGGCAGCTTTTTATAAAACTAAGTATGCAATTACCATATATGACCCACCTATTGCACTTTGGGGCATTAATTCCAGAGAAATGAAAACTAATGTTCACACAAAACCTGTACACAATGTTCATAAAAGCTTTATTCATAATTGCCCCAAACTGTAAACAAACAACCCAGATGCCCTTCAATGAGTGAATAAACTCTGGTATATCCATGCCACCGATTGCTAATCAGCAATGAAAAGGAACAAATTACTGATATACACAATTATGCAAATGAATCTAGAGAGGATTACACAGAGTGAAAAAAACTCAACCACAAAGAGTACATACTATATATTTCATTTACATAACATTCTTGAAGTTTAAAAAAACCCATAGAAATGGAGAACATACTAGTGGTTATTAACGAGCAATAGAGCAATAGGAGGAATTCTTTTTTTTTTTTTTTTTTGAGACGGAACGGAGTCTTGCTCTGTCGCCCAGGCTGGAGTGCATTGGCGCCATCTCGGCTCACTGCAAGCTCCACCTCCCGGGTTCACGCCATTCTCCTGCCTCAGCCTCCCAAGTAGACTATAGGCACCCGCCACCACACCTGGCTACTTTTTTGTATTTTTAGTAGAGACGGGGTTTCATCGTGTTAGCCAGGATGGTCTGATTTCCTGACCTCGTGATCCGCCCGCCTCGGCCTCCCGAAGTGTTGGGATTACAGGCATGAGCCACCGTGCCCGGCCAATAGGAGGAATTCTTGTGCTGATGGAAATACTGTGTATCTTGACTGTATGGATGTCAAGATTCCGGCTGTGATATTGCACTATACTTCTACAAGATGTCACCTTGGGGTGGGGGAACTGCTTAACGGCTACTCGGGTTCTCTCTGTTACTTCTCACAAGTGTATGTAAATCTACAATTATCTCAAAATTTTTTTTAAATTATCTTTTCAAAAGAGGAGAAATAGGGAAATTCTCACTGATGGGAGTAGAATATTCCATTTCTTGTGTTATTTTAGCCCCTAGCCCAGTAGTTTCCAAAAGATCACCTGGGGATTTTTTTTTTAAACAATTCCAAAGCCAAGGCTACACTTCATTCAACAGCAATGAACTAACAAATAATTAAGTTTTGTAATGCCAACTTTAAAAAACTGGAGAACTGGGAAGGAGAGTTTCTTACTTACTGAACTTATGTAAGATATCTCATTTATAAAAGAAACCCCATGAGATCAGTACTACAGGGTCCATTTCATCAAAGAGGAAACAAAGTCTGAAAAAGATTAAGGAATGGCCTAAATTTCCACAACTGCTAAGTGACAGACTTAGCACTTGAACTTCAAACTTTGAATGCAACCAGACCTTTGCTCTTTCTACTAGACCAAATTGGCTGGCAGGCATCCAGGGGAGAGAGGGATCACCCTGGGAAGGGACCCAGATGCCGACTGCACAGGTCTAGCACAGTGGGTAAGATTTAAGAGTGTGAGGGCCGGGCGCGGTGGCTCACGCCTGTAATCCCAACACTTTGGGAGGCTGAGGCGGGCGGATCACCTGAGGTCAGGAGTTCAAGAACAGCCTGACCAACACGGTGAAACCCCGTCTCTACTAAAAATACAAAAATTAGCCGGGTGTGGCGGCACCTGCCTGTATTCTCAGCTATTCGGGAGGCTGAGGCAGGAGAATCGCTTGAATCCGGGAGGGGAGGGGGTTGCAGTGAGCAAAGATCGTGCCACTGCACTCCAGCCTGGGTGACAGAGAGGCCAATCCAGGCAGAGGAAATGGTCTGGCATATTCCAGGGGCTGATTGGCCAGACGGATTAGGGAAGGCAATGCAGGTATGGGTTAGTGGATCAGCGCAAACCACCTTCAGATGACAGTCATACACCACTTTCCAACTTAAAGATTTTGTATTGAAAATTTAAGAGTGAAATTTAATTTAAGTGGCTTTATTATGCTACCGACATACACTGTTTTTGTTTTTTTAAGACAAGGTGTTGCTCTGCTGCCCAAGCTGGAGGCAGTGAAGCAATCACAGCTCACTGCAGCCTGGACTTCCTGGGCTCCAGTGATCCTCCCACCTATATACTATTTGGGATTGCTAAAACTAAAAAAATGAAAGGCAAATTTCAGTATTTAACTATAATTAGCAATAAAGTGCTTTCAAGAAACTATATGGAAACTGTTGGAGAGCAGCGGTGAGTCCTGCAGGGGACTGTGGGGATTCTGGAAAGGAGGGGGAAGTTGGTCTTTAACTTAGGAGAAGACGGTTTTGATGCAGGCAGAGTTTCCAAAACATTACTTCCATATATGAAGATTAAGGTATACATTTCTCAAGATATAATTTCAAAAAAATGAGACACCCACTGACAAAAGGTTTTAATAACCCTAGTCATTATTTCATCCTAGACCACAGTGAAAGTGGCGGGGCTGAGGAAGGGCATATTCAGTTAATCTAAAGGGAGGAAACAAAGGTTCCAAGTAGATTTAGAGGAAGACTTTGAGAAGAGTAAGGAGGTTACCGGTTCCCACTGGTCTTCATGAAGAACTGTTAGACCCAGCCTGCCCTACAGCCATTATCTCCTCAGTGTGAACGGAAAGCTAAGGCATAAGTTATTAGCAAAATTTCCCTTGATTAAGAAAGGACAAGTCACTAGTCCTGCATATGAACGCGCTGAACGTCTCTCAATGGTCAGGAAGGCGCTCTTGAATGCTCTTTGGTCCAACCAAGAGCGCGAAGAGAAGGAGAGAGCGGTCAGGGCTTTGAACTAAGAGCCACGGGAGGGACCCTGGCCTTTTCTCCCTCAAAGGCATCTCGCAGCCCGAGGGCCGCGCCCCGGCCTCGTGAGCCCCTGTAGCCTCCAGCAGTGGCGCTTACCTTGTGAGTCCGGGCGCCGCGCTGTCCCGCAGAGCAGAGCCAGCCGCTGCCCTCAGCGCTCCGCCAGGTTCACCGCGGCCCGCAGCTGCCCCGCGCCCGCTGCGTACGCGAAGGACACAGCCGAGCGCGGGTGCCCACTGGGGGCACCTCGGAGGGTCACCGCGTCGGGGCCACCGTGCCGCACCACCGTCCACGCGGAGTCTGCTGAGCAGAAACGGGCAAAGGAGAGGCATCACTGGGCGGCAGAGGCCAGCAGCAAGAGGCAAAGCAGACCTGTCTTTTATGTGAATTAACGTTTAATTGAAATTTACATTACTGCATGTTTGCCGCGATTTGAGGAGTTGGACCTGTGTAACAATGTACTGAGCCAGAACTCAGCCTCTAAGAGAAAGCATATTGGAAGAACTGATGACCAAACTTTTGCGACGTCACGCCTAAAAATGTATCATGTAAGCAATGACTTTTTAGTTGTTAAAACCATTTTTTTATATCAACACAAGCATGGGGCCAAACTGTTACTACCTGGACCTTTATCTTTTTAAACTCATCTGCATTTTCCTCATCTGTATGTGCCTCTATTTCTTTCATTATCGAATAAATTTATAAAAGATACATATTGGGACGTTGTGACGCACATACTCACAGGTATGATAGGAAGCAGCTCTATTAAAATAAAGTGGTTTAATTATGTCAGCTTCTCCATCAGTGACCAAGCCCAGAGGAATCAGAGGCCTTGAGCTTCTAACAGCACTTTCCAGGCGGTGACCCTGAGCATCTGACTGCCTGCTGACATCATTTCTGATGTATCTCTGTCACTTGATTACTTATATTGTTTTGATGAAATAAAAACAAAATGACTCCACAATCTCAAAAGGGAAGAAGTGCATCTTGAGTTCTTTAGTGTTCCCAACAATGGACCTCCCACCAGACTTGAAGTCACTTTAATTCTACTATGCTGGTGCTGTCTGGTCCTTTAACCTCTAATAAGATATATTTAGAATAATGGACATTTTACATAAAAATTTTCCGAACTGGAGAAACGAAGAAACATTTGTATGGGGATTTTTTAAGAACTACGAAACAAAACAATGTGATACATTTTACCTTGAGAAATCACCCTCCCAGCCCTTCACATCTCAGGATTTTTCATGGCTTGGCTGCTAAATGGCTAAATGGCTTGTGCGTAAGACAAATTTCACAGCCTTACTGTTACTTACACATGCCTAACAACAGAGATCAGAGGAAAGAAGGAAAAGAAAACCAGCCATGCTACTGAAATATCTCTTTAGTCACAGAACCCATGGAGAGCAAAGGTGTGATATCCACAAATGAGCCACAAGTACAGAAAAAAAATCTGCAAATTTAAATAACGAATGCAATTTTAAATTAAATTATCACTCCACTCACTGTACTCACCAAAGGAGGCTCTAAGTGTGCCTATGGTAATTTCAATTCCATGGGTTCTTCCTTTAATATTGCTCTATTTTTTTATTTTAGATTTTTTATTTAATTTATTTATTTTTGAGATAAGAGTCTCGCTCTGTTGCCCAGGCTGGAGTGCAGTGGCGCTATCTCAGCTCACTGCAGCCTCTGCCTCCTGGGTTCAAGCAGTTCTCCTGTCTCAGCCTCACAAGTAGCTGGGACTACAGGCAAACACCACCACACCTGGCTAATTTTTGTATTTTTTTAGTAGAGACGGGGGTTTCACCATGTTGGCCAGGCTGGTCTTGAACTCCCAACCTCAGGTGATCCACCCGCCTTGGCCTCCCAAAGTGCTGGGATTACAGGTGTGAGCCACCACGCCTGGCCTCATTTTAGAATTTTTACAACCTGGTGTTACTCTGTGCACATCACCTACTCTCACCTTCAGAGTTTTCCTATCAACTGAATCAAATATAGAAAAACCTATGGAACACTAAGTTGGGCATTGAAGATGATCAACCACATGCCATTTTTGGCCATGTGTTCATGATTTGTTGTACAATGGGAGAGAAATGATGGTCCGGAGTAGTTCACATAGGCTGGTGGGCAGTATGATAGATTTGCAGTCACCCATGGTTAAGATGTAATCACAGAAATGCCCTCAGTACTGAGAAGGGAACTGTTGAGAATACATCTGTAAAACTTGTTTTTCTGAAGAGTAGAATAGTAACCAGGGACATTATAGGATATGCATTTGTGTTTATAAAATTCCACTTGACTCACTTCTCCTTATAATATCAGTAGTAAAAGACCCAAAGAAGGACACAGACCATTGTGGTTTCCCTAATTGCTCGTAATTTATTTCAATTGATTATAAGCATATTGGAACTGGAAAGGATCTTAAAGAGCATCTAATATAACCCTTATATTTTTCTTTTTCTTTTTTATTAGAGATAGGGTCTCCCTCTGTTGCCCAGCTTGGAGTGCAGTGGCACCTTCATAGTTTACTGCAGCCTCGACCTCCTGGGCTCAAGTGAATTGGACCTGAGTAGATTAATTATAACAGTGGCTAAATGTGGAAAGGGGTTCAGAGGTGTGGCTGAGTCAGAACACACTGGAGGCCGTCTCACCAGCCCAGAAGGAGGGTAACTGTAACACGTTGATACCTGTTCCACTCCTGTTGCTCAAATAAATATCCAACTTTGAAAATTAAGCTAATTTAACTTCATGATTTTGATTGGAATTAACAGTACAGATGTTCCTCAATTTATGATGAAGTTGCATCCGGATGAACTTATTATAAATTAAAAATGCATTTTAATACATGTGACCTACTGAACCTAGCTCAACCCAGCCTAACTTAAATGTGCTCAGAACACTTAAATCAGCCCACAGTTGGGCAAAATCATCTAACACAATGCCTATTTTACAATAAAGTGTTGAATATCTCATGTCATTTATTAACTACTGTACTGAGAGTAAAAAAAAAAAATAATAATAATGGTTGTGGCCAGGCGTGGTGGCTCACGCCTGTAATCCCAGCACTTTGGGAGGCCGAGGCAGGCGGATTACGAGGTCAGGAGATCGAGACCATCCTGGCTAACATGGTAAAACCCTATCTCTACTAAAAATACAAAAAATTAGCCGGGCGTGGTGGCACATGCCTGTAGTCCCAGCTACCGGGGAGGCCGAGGCAGAAGAATCACTTGAACCCGGGAGGTGGAGGTTGCAGTGAGCCGAGATCGTGCCACTGTACTCCAGCCTGGGTGACAGAGCAAGCCTCTGTCTCAAAATAATAATAATAATAATAATAATAATAATAATAATAATAAAATAATAGTTGTATGGGTACTTGAAATAGGGATGCATATGGTTTCACATAGGGAAGTCGCAATATTGTAAGTAGAACCATTGTAAACGGGGATTGTCTGCACTTAAAATTTACTCAGTATATCATATGAAATCCCCAGCATCTGGTATACCCATTCCTATATGTCCCAGAAGAAAAAAGAAAATAAGATCCACTGTGTTCTGTTGTCAGGAGCATACATATTAAGGTTATCTCTTTTAGAGAACTGACCCTTTCATTTGTCTGAGAAAATCTTTATTTCTTCACTTTTCAAGGAGAAGGTTTTGTTTTGTTTTGTTTTCTCTCTTTCACACTTTAAGTATCTCACTGCATTCTTGCTGGCATGATTTCTGAAGAGAAGATGCTGTAATACTTATCTCCTATGTAGGTAAGGTGCTTTCTTCCTCTGATTATTTTTAAGAATTTACTTTTACCTGGCCTGGGCATGGTGGCTCATGCCTGTAATCCCAGCACTTTGGGAGGCTGAGGTGGGTGGATCACCTGAGTTCGGGAGTTGAAGACCAGCCTGACCAACATGGAGAAACCCTGTCTGTACTAAAAATACAAAAATTAGCCAGGCATGGTGTCACATGCCCATAATCCCAGCTACTCAGGAGGCTGAGGCAGGAGAATCACCTGAACCCAGTAGGCGGAGTTGTGGTGAGCCAAGATCGTACCATTGCACTCCAGCCTGGGCAACGAGAGTAAAACTCCATCTCAAAAAAAGGAGTTTACTTTTATCTTTGAATTCTATAGTTTGAAAATATATGCCTGGTAGAGTTTTGGGGGCATTTCTCCTTCTTTGGTGTTCTCTAAACTTCCTGGATTTGTGGTTTGGTGTCTGATACTAATTTGTGGGAATTCTCAGTCATTATTTCTTCAAATATGCTTCTGTTCCTTTCTTTCTTTCTTCTCCTAGAATTCTCTTTACACGTATGTTACACCTTTTGTAGTTGTGCCACTGTACTCAGATATTATGTTCTGGGTTTTCTTTTTGCAGGGGGTGGGGTTCAGTCTTTTTTTCTCTTTGCTTTTCAGTTTTGCAAGTTTCTATTGAGGTATCTCTAAGCTTAGGGATTCTTTCCAAAGCTGTGCCTGGTCTACTAATAAGCCCATCAAAGGCATTCTTCATTTCTGTTATGCTGTTTTTGATCTCTAGCACTCCTTTTTGCTTCTTAGAATTTCCATCTTGCTGCTTACATTGTTCATCTGGTCTTGCATGCTATCTACTTTACCCATTACAGCTTTTTCCATATTAATTATAGTTGTTTAAAGTCCTGGTCTGATAATTCCAATGTCCCTGCCATATCTGACTCTGGTTTTTGTTTGTTAGTTTTGTTTTTTGGTTTTTTTGAGACAAAATCTCGCTCTGTCACCCAGGGGGGAGTTCAGTGGCACGATCTCAGCTCACTGCAAGCTCCGCCTCCCGGATTCATGCCATTCTTCCTTCTCAGCCTCCCGAGTAGCTGGGACTACAGGCACCCGCCACTACGCCCGGCTAATTTTTTTTGTATTTTTAGTAGAGACAGGGTTTCACAGTGTTAGCCAGAATGGTCTCGATCTCCTGACCTCGTGATCCGCCTGCCTCAGCCTCCCACAGTGCTGGGATTACAGGCGTGAGCCACCGTCTGTTTTTAATGCTTGCTCTGTCTCTTCAAAGTGTGTTTTTTGCCTTGAACTTTTTTCTTTTTCTTTTTTTGGAGACAAGGTCTTTCTCTGTTGCCCAGGCTAGAGTGCAGTGGTGTGACCATGGCTCACTGCAGTCTCCAACTCCCAGGCTCAAGCGATCCTCCCACCTCAGCCTCCCAAGTAGCTGGGACTACAGATACATGTCACCATGCTGTTTTGTTGTTGTTGTTGTTGTTGTTGTTGTTGTTGTCACAATGCTGTTTTGTTGTTGTTTTTGTTGTTGTTGTTGTTGTAGAGGTGGGGGTCTCACTGTGTTGCCCAGACTGGTCTCAAAACTGGTCTAAGGCTATCTTCCCTCCTCAGCTTCTCAAAGTAATAGGATTATAGGTCCAGCTGAAATTTTTTCTTGATAACCAGATGTGATGTACCAGGTAAAAGTAACTGTAACTGCTGTAAAGAGGCCTGCAGTACTATAAGTAACATGTGTGGGAAGGGGAAAGGTTCTGTAGTCCTGTGATTAGGTCTGAGTCCTTTAGGGAGCCTGTGCCTCTGGGCTGTGACCTTCACAAGAGCTTCTCAGCCCTCCCTCCCATCACCACCCTTACATGGGACAGGATGGCCAGAGGTGGGTAATTTCCTTCCTCCAGGCAGGTTAGGCTCTGAAAACAAAAAACAAAACAAAACAAAACAAAACACCAGTAGCTTAGGTGAAATATTTGCCCTTGAGGAAAGACCTTGTTAAGAAGAACAGAAAGCTCTGGTGTACTTCAAGACGGTTCCTTTTCACCTTCCCTTTCTGGAAGCATGAGGAGATTTTTCTCCAACATTCACTGTGAGAACCCGGTCAAGCTAGGTGTCAAACTCACAGAAGTGTGGGGACCCTTCTCTGTCTGGGTCTTCCTGGAGTTCTTAACTCTCAGATGTGTCCACATCGAACATCCAACAATTCGTCAATTAAGTTTAGGTTTTCCTACCTTGACAACGGTTTCCCCAAAGGTTAGTGCTTGTGGAAGAAAACTGTCATTCTGTATATAAGCCTGCCTGTCTCTCCAATTTTGAGGGGCAGTGGTTTGTTCTGTGACCTCACTTCTCTGCTGGATCTAAAAAAATTGGTTAATTTTTCAGTTTGCCTGGCTTTTTACTTGTTCTTAAGATAGAGTGCTGACTTCCAAGCTCTGAAGCAACTGCTTTTTGAAGGTTATTACGATATATACATTTCAAGCTATTAGAGTAGTTTGAAATTGCACATTTTATAATCATTATTGCTTGATTTGTACAACTAGAGAATTTATTACTGGCTATAGAGCAATGCGGCATCTAAAGAGAAGGTGACATTTTCTAGGGCAGAAAAGAGACCAGAGTTTAGTGATTCCCCTATCATTAGCTAGATTTTGTCAGTAGATACTTCCCTAACCAACTTTTCTGAGCCTTGGTTTCCTCATCTTAAAATGATGACAACCAAGGTCCTTCCTGGTTGTGACTTTGGTTGAGTCTTTTGATATCCACCAAGACCATTTTTATGGGATTTCTCACTTTGCTTTCATTGTTTGAGTCGGGATTTTGGAGGTAATTGGTATCTTATGGCAGAACGCTTGTGTTTCTTTATCTTCAGCACATTGCTGTGCAGGTGGCTCTGAATCTTCTGAACATCCCCTGTAAAGTTTTACTATTTTTTGACAATCTTTGCTAAGGCACTTTAAATGCCCATGTAATTTCAGTTATTTTTTTCTTTTTCCTTGATGCTTGCTGACCCATTTGGTTATTGTCCAAATTTATGAAACTTTTGAAACCTTTTGTCAGCACAATAAATGAGAACAGTTTATTCCAGATTTCCACTTTGCAGAGAGTTGGAAGAGCTAGGTGACAACAAATTTCTGTAAAAATGTAACTATTTAAAAGGCGTTCTAGTGCAATCTTCTATAATCAAGCTGTGTTCATTTCTTTTTTTCCTTTTTTTTTTTTTTTTTGAGATGCAGTCTTGCTCTGTCGCCAGGCTGGAGTGCAATGGCGCAATCTTGGCTCACTGCAACCTCTGCCTCTCTGGTTCAAGGGATTCTCCTGCCTCAGCCTCCCAAGTAGCTGGGACTACAGGTGCGGGCGCCACCACGCCCAGCTAATTTTTGTATTTTTAGTAGAGATGGGGTTTCACCACGTTGGCCAGGATGGTCTCGATCTCTCGATCTCGTGATCTGTCCGCCTTGGCCTCCCAAAGTGCTGAGATTACAGGCGTGAGCCACCATGCGCAGCCCAAGCAGTGTTCATTTCTAATATCTAAAGCACGAGAAATAATCAAGTTTCTTTGGTTATGAAAAAATTATATGACATAAAAATCACTAAATTATTTAAGATGCACATAGAACATTAACATATCTATGTTATTTCTTAGCATTTTTAAACACCTCTGTTTTTTCTAAATACAGAAAGCATGTAAATCACCGAATCAGAGGTTTGTATTTTATCATGATGCACATGAACAGATGTATTATGAGGAGTGTAGGAGCTAGAGAGATGCCTTGGCAGAGCATTGAATCTTGCCTATAATCCAATCCAGGCAAAGAAGAAATACAAGAAAATTTTGTTGACAACAAAATTAATAAATACATATTTAATGCTTCTACTTAGCAAGTACACACTATCAAACTGCATGTTTTAATAATGCTGCCAACTAGGTAAATTTCTCCTTGGTCTATTCTGATCTATGCATCTAACGATTATCAACATACCTGTCATATTGCAGTACACAAGAAATGGTCCCAGGGGGCCACTTCCATCTGCATCAATATAGTAAAGCCCGGATGGGTTCCCTCGGTGCTTGTGGGCTTCACAAGACTGCTCGTAGAGAGCTGTAGGAGAACACCAGCCAAAAGAACCAGAAAAAATATCTCCAGATGTTGAGTCAGTGTCCAAAGGTTTGCATTTCTGAATTACAGACATGTGATACATATGACCCAACATCATTTTTATAGTGTATGACAGTATATTTGATGAGATGCAAAAAAAATGACATTTAAAAAATTAAATCTATTTTTATTAACAAAGGAGAAAAAAATTACCTAGTCAAAATACATTCAAAGGTTGGATGTTGTTAGATGCTGAATAAATATTCGGTCACAGTGTATTTCTATTTTGAGGAAGAAGGAAAGATTGTGTTGGTGTTCAAACATGAAGATGTGCTTACAGTGGGAATGCGATACTATCTTCAATAGACAATCTTTTGGCAATGTCTAGAGACTGTACTTTCTCTACATAAATGTTTTCTTTTGCTTTTAGGCAAGAAAGCATGCAAACTCTGAAGCACAGTGTAAAACACTTGAAGAGATACGAGAGGAAAACTTTGTGAATCTGAATTCTGCGTGCTATTGAAGCATGGTTCTTTCCAAACTCATGGCAACTATACCTCAGAATTAAACTCTATAATTAAGGAAGAAACCCTCATTCTCCCTGTAATAACTGAATACCTAAGCACATTAAAATGCCTAAATAATCTGGTATTTTCCCATAAGCATTCTGTAAAGTTTTTCTTAAGCTATGCGGCAGTTATACCCTTTGCTTCCTTTAAAACAATATGAATGAGCATTTTAAAGAGATAAATGGAATTTATAAGCTATCAACTTCTCGTCATTAAAAAATAATTAAAGCTGATTTAAAAAAGAAACATCCCTAAGTATTTTGCAAGTGACAATTCAAGACAGCCGAAATTCAAAACAGGAGAGAAACTTTTTTGAAAGACATCCCTATATAATGTAAATTTACTCTAGCATAATTGAGTATTTTCATTTGTGCAAGTAAATGTTTTACCAAGTACAAGGTATGGAATTAATATCTGCAGGAGATGGACATTGCTAATCTTTATTTTTTTGCCACTTATGGCATATTGATTTAAATAGATACATATATTTGTATATGTCTGGTGGGATTCACTCAAATTAATAACAATACTTAAATATAGGGCACAGACTAGGTTTGGAATGGAGACAAATATTGAGGAAAGTGACTAGAACTTGTGCTTTATGTGAACTGTTTGGCTTTTTAAATGATAATGTATACATGTATTAATGTATAGTATATATTAATTGAATACAATTGATTTTAATTGTATAATTAATTATATACAATGAGTTATATACAATTAATAATTATATACAATTAATTAGTTGCACATAATTGATACATGTTATACAATTAGAAATACAAAATAACCTATTCAACTAGGTGTGGCAGTCTAGTCTCACAGTGAATGACTGTGGGCTTGGCAAATTTCTACCTATAGCCATCAATTATTAGATGAGACTGACACTTGAAATACTTTTTCAATCTCCTGATATTTTCCCTCAGAAGTTTTTGGAGTTATATTTTGATTGCAGTGAATAACCATGGACTAATATAACTCATTGATTAATTGCAATATTAAATGCAATCAGACAATGCTGAGTGTGGTGGCAGATATAAATTTTCCAGGTAACACACAAGATTAGGCTTCTGCTTTTAGGTAAGATACTATGCCTGGAGGATGAAAGATACACAGAAGTAAAAGATGTGGTCCCTGCACCAACTCTATGACCTTATCAAGACATTCAGCCTCTGGTGTGAGAGGCCACTCAACTCCTAGAAAATGTGTCACAGCGGCTGGGCATGGTGGCTCATGCCTGTAATCCCAGCACTTCGGGAGTCCAAGGCAGGTGGATCACAAGGTCAGGAGATCGAGACCATCCCGGCTAACATGGCAAAACCCCATCTCTACTAAAAATACAAAAAATTAGCCGGGCGTGGTGGCGGGCGCCTGTAGTCCCAGGTACTCGGGAGGCTGAGGCAGGAGAATGGCGTGAACCTGGGAGGCGGAACTTGCAGTGAGCTGAGATCATGCCACTGGGCTCCAGCCTGGGCGACAGAGCAAGACTCCATCTCAAAAAACAAAAAACAAACAAACAAAAAAAAGAAAATGTGTCACAGCTTTATAAACAGGGACCCTTCTAGTACAAAAATCATACTTCATGCTTCAATCTGTGAGAGTCACTCCTGGACTGTCTCCTCTTTTGCCCAGATCCTTTACAGAACCTCAGGACTGGGAGCGCAGAATTCTCATTGCAAGTATGAAGTGTGGTTTTAACACTCCACAGCCTGCCTTTCTCCTGTGGCTTTTGTGAAAATCAAATGTCTCACGGAAGAGTTCTTAAAAGTTTCAATTAGGAACTCAGGATGAGCAAGTGGAACTGAGGACTTTGCATCTCTGTTTCCTTGAAGACCCAGGGATGGGCGAAATATTCCTGAGGAGAAGTTGCTCAGAAACGTCAGTAGAGATATACAGAAAGAAAACTCTAAAAGTTAAAAACAAATAAGAAAAAAAAGGCTTTTCAGATTCTGTGATGTTCTAATTATAACAGGTTAGAGGTCAATAAAACGGCATGGCCTTTGAAATTCACAGAGGGTGATTCTTCAGTAAAGACAGATGATTTTTAATATGGCAGAGGCAGTTGAGAAGTGTTAGAATATGCCATCCCTTAGACATTGTTCTTACACTTAAATGTCTACCAGAAGCATGAGGAAGGTTGGTTACAAGAGACTCGGGGCCCCATCTCCAGCGATTCTGATTTAGTAGGTTTGGGTAAGGCCTGAGAGTCTTTACTTGCAACAGGTTCCCAGGGGCTGTGGGTGCTGCTGGTGCATGGACCACCAATCAGGCATCCTGGAGCCAAGGCTGTGGAGCCAACCTCCTTAGCTCAACTCCTCATCTTCCCACAAACTAGCTGGGGGCCAAGTTACTTAACCTCTTTCTGTCCTCAACTCTGCAATGAAGATAATAGTACTTTCTTCCAGCTGCTTTAGGGTTAAATGAGTTAATATATGCAAAGCAATAGCAGAGGGCTGACATAAGTACTCAATACATTAATACTTTTACAATTATTCACTTTACAATCATCATCACCACCACCAAAGAAAATCACAGTCATTGTAAGAGATCTTAAAGGTCCTCTAGTTTCTAGCTGATATCCCATTACCTCTTCAAAAATCTTGCCATGTACAATCCCATGATTGCATCATCCCAGTGATTGTTAAAAAATCTTTAAATACCTTAAATGCAACATTGACAGCCTGGCAAGGGGTTGTTTTTCCACCTTTCTTTGACTGAGAAGATTCTCAGAATTAAAATTATGGTCCAACTCAAGTAATGGAACAAGCTGTTAACATCATGCATTTTTAATTTAATTTAGTTTCTACCTTTTACTATATCTGATTCTCCTAGACTTATTTCCCCATTGCTTGCCAGTTTCTTTTTTCAATCCTATGTGTACCACGTATTTCTGTGCACTGTCTCAACACCCTTGTATTAAATAAGGTGGATTAAAAGTAAACTAGAAATTGAATGCTGAAATATCTCTTCTGATGTGTTTGCATGATTGCAAATATGCAGATACATATAAACAACTAATCAAAATGAAATGACAAAGAGATGCTGACAGAAACGAGAGGGAGGTGTGAGGCTTACAGGAATGGCAGGTCTCGCCCGTATAGCCTGTGCCCAGACAATCACAGGAGAAGGTGTCCCACGACTGGGAACACTCGCCCCCATGCTCACAGTAGCTGGGCAAGCACCTAAAAGAAAACAGATACAACTGCTGTTTCCCTTTTTCAATCATCAAAAAATAAGTGTCTTACCAAAAACAGGTTAACCAAAAACAGGTTAATGTGAAAGAGCAGCATACGCAAGATAACCCCACATGACGTGATTACTGGGTCTGCCATCAAGGTTCTCTAATTATATTGACAAACTTTAGATAAATATATCCATTAGCATGCAGCTGATTATTAGGTTTCTGAGACAGCTGAATTTTCAACACATTTCTTTTTTTCTTTGTCCCAAGTGACACAATAACTTGACATGTGGCTAGCAAAACCAATTACATACATAAAACTATGAAATATGGCATGCTCCGTTACTATATTGTGGTCATTTTTAAAAGAAAGAAGGGGAAACAGGGAGGAAGATACAGAGGGGAGAAGAAAGAAACAGGAACAGCTTCAGTCACATAGTGACAGAGGTTCAGAAATTTTGAAGAACATTTAATTTAGGTCATCTTGTCACCTTTTAGATTTGCAATAAGCAGTCGGTTATTGCTTTTTAAGCAATCTTAACACTGGTAATATGTCAATATGACCCAAAGCAATCTACAAATTCAATACAATTCTTATTAAAATCCCAATGCCTTTTTTTGCAGAAAACAAAAATCCATCCTAAAATTCATAGGGAACCTCAAGGGACCCTGAACCAGCCAATGTTGAAAAAGAACAGTTGGAGGTCTCACACTTTCAGAATTCTTGGAATCTGCTGCCGCCCACTATAATATTGGGGGCCTAGCATGCCTGCCTCTCAGGATTGTTAGGGGAACAGGGAGCAGGGTACACTATGGAAACTGACCAGCACCTGACACAGAGTGTCACCAAGAGGTAGTGTGACCTTCTGGAGGCCTGGCCTGAATACCATGACCCACCTCTGCCTTGAGCAGGGTTGGATCTCAGCCTCTGGCCGCTGTCTCCCACTGCTGAGTACACAGCTAAGGACCTGGTAAAGAGTGAAGATTCTAAAGGACACTGACCTTCCAGGCCGTGAGGGACATCATAGTCCATGCTGGAGCGGCAGAGGCGGGGAGCACCCCAGTGCCCCTCACCATGGGACCCAGAGAAGTAACAGAAGAGGGGCCGGGAGGTTGTGACAGGCCTCCTGGCTGTGGTGGAAGGACGACCAGCAGAGAACTGGGGTATGAAGTTGACAGAAAGCCCCAGGGGCCTGTATTTGGCCTCGGGAGAGATCCTTTGAGGGGAACCTGAGGGGCTGGGAAGAATCCGCAGCATTCCCTACCCTCCCCATGCCCCCAGCCCCCTATCCTGGCTCTCCAGCACTGCACCACCAGCTCAGGGCCAAGACTTCCATAATTACATGGTGTTAATGAGCATTTAGTCTGCATTCAGAGAAGAGTTAGGGGCCATGAGAATCACAACTTTTCAAGTATTTCAAAGGCCAAGGCATGGAAAAGCCTGTGTGAACTGATCAGAAGAGGGGGAGCTGGAGCGACAGGCAAGGTTGGCTGGGGTGGGGGCCCACCCTCATACCATTTTTAAAAGAGCAGCTGTTCCTCTTCCCCCACATCCTTCTCCCTCTCCTCCCCTTCCTTCTTAATATAATGGAGCATCTTAAGATCATACCTGACTTGAAGATTCCACAAATTTTAAAAAACATTAAAAACCACTGCTGTTTGATATCAACAGGGAGAGAATAACTTTAGTTCAAAATATTTGGAAATAAGAACTATTTAAGTGATCTAGAGACTATCAACATGTATACACTATTTTTCTTCAACTAAACACAACATCAATTGTGAAAAATTTACATGTATTACAAATAATAGAGGAAGTAGCTAGCATGCAGAAGACCAACAGAGGGGAAGATGGCAGAGGGAGGGCAGGAGTGGGGTCAGAAGCCTGGTCAGCACAGCCAGGTGAGGAGGTGACGGAGGCCTCCCTGCTCAGGGAGCCCCAGTTGGAACGCAGCACAGGACTCCACTGGAAGCTCTGCCATGTGGTATACAGGGCAAACCTTAAAACAGTATAGGAATTTGATGTAAGAGGTGATTAAGAAGTTAAAACCTATCCTGGCCGGGTGTGGTGGCTCACGCCTGTAATCCCAGCACTTTGGGAGGCTGACGCGGGTGGATCACGAGGTCAGGAGATCGAGACCATCCTGGCTAACACGGTGAAACCCCGTCTTTACTAAAAATACAAAAAATTAGCCAGGTGTGGTGGCGGGCGCCTGTAGTTCCAGCTACTCGGGAGGCCGAGGCACGAGATTGGCATGAACCCAGGAGGCGGAGCTTGCAGTGAGCCGAGATCGTGCCACTGCACTCCAGCCTGGGCGATAGAGCGAGACTCTGTCTCAAAAAAACAAACAAACAAACACCTATCCAAACATAAACATCCATTATTTGTGACTCTGTCATCCAAAGTGCCCATTGCTATTTTTTGCGTAGCTTAAAATTTTGACTAAAAAAGATAACTTCATACCCCTTATCTGTCCCTAAGTAGGATTTTTAGGTCTGGTATTTGAGTAACATATGTTTCTACTTTGTGAGTTAGTGATATGGTTTGGCTGTGTCCCCACCCAAATCTCATCTTAAATTGTAGTTCTCATAATTCCCACCGTGTCATGGGAGGGAACCTGTGGGAGGTAACTGAATCATGCGGGCAGATCTTTCTCAGGCTTTTCTCATGATAGTGAATAAGTCTCACGAGATCTGATGGTTTTATAAAGGGGAGTTTCCCTGCACAGGTTCTCTTGCGTGCTGCCATATAAGACGTGTCTTGTTTCTCCTTCACCTTCTGCTATCATTGTGAGGCCTCCCCAGCCATGTGGAACTGTGAATCCATTAAGCCTTTTTTCTTTATAATTACCCAGTCTTGGGTATATCTTTATTAGCAGCATGAGAACAGACTAATACAATTAGATTTTTGTTTGTTTGTTTGTTTGTTTGTTAACAACAACAAAGAAAGGCTGATAGATGCTTACAGGCCTGTTTTCAGGATACTTAAAAGTGAATTTTCAGTATTTTCAGGTTTTGAAAACTTTATGTAAAGGGAACAGCAAAGGTCTTTAATTTTAACTCTGTAGGATGTCATTTTGTGTCCCCAAAGTTTTCTAATTTTATTGCTTTATAAAATTCAGGTTTTCAAAATAATCTCAGAGGAGCTAGTCTTCTACGTTACTGAATTTGGGAATGAAATAGTAAATAGCCTTTATTTGTAGCCCTATTTGAAAATGATTTAAAAGTGCTTTCTTAAAATCCTTATCTGCAATGATTATTGTACACATCATGGCTGAAGTTTAAGTGTGGCTCACACATACATGCTTAGTTGAGCATGTTTACAAGTAACTTTGGGGTACAATTTGGAGGGCTTTTTAAAATGTGGGATCTTAGATACCAAGTTAGGCACCAATGTAACTCTTGGGACTTTAAGGTTAAAACAAAACAGCCTATAACAGTAAAAACAATAGTTTTGTACTTTGGGAGCTACATGCACAAAGCAGGCAACATGGATCATCTCTGAAAAGAGGCAGCCTCACAATATATATCTCATAACAGAAACACTGCAAATGGATCATATTTTGTGAGTAATTAACAAGGTATCAAAATAATGTCATACAAGTGAAGAAAATCACACTTGCATCACAGTTGAGCTGACAGCTGTTGTCACTCACAGTGTGGGCCCATGGGACATTACCCCTTAACTCAGAGAGAGCTGAGCTCCCTGGCTAGTTAGCTGAGCAACTTGGGATTATATTAAGTGAGCAAATGGCCAGAAACCTTCCCAACTACCCTTCCCACGACTACAGAGTGGGGTTCTGGAGCTGGTGTTGAGATGTAAATGCAGTCCCAGCTGTGTGCCAAGAATTCAAATCTCAAGGTCAAGAATGAGAGGTACTTGACAAATTCTTACACTTCATATACTCCTCATCTTTGAATTAATTCATTTTTCCTACAAATCAACAGAATGTTCACAGGGGGAAATTATTCCATGCTGAATAAATAAAGTCCATATGAATGAACTTTTCATTTAGTAGTAATTGCGTTTTTTTAGTATGTCACTAACTGTGAGTTATAAATTAAAACCTGTTTAGCCAGAGAGGATAATTTTACAGTTAATGTTTAAAACAGAATTGACTAACTGAATTTACTCCATGAAGAAGGCAGGTTTTGAAAGTTCTACCAGATGCAGATATAACTTTTTTTTTTTTTTTTTTTTGAGAAGAGTCTGGCTCTGTTGCCCAGGCTGGAGTGCAGTGGCACGATCTCATTCACTGCAAGCTCCGCCTCCCGGGTTCACGCCATTCTCCTGCCTCAGCGTGCCGAGTAGCTGGAACTACAGGCGCCCGCCACCATGCCTGGCTAATTTTTTGCATTTTTAGTAGAGACGGGGTTTCACCATGTTAGCCAGGATGGTCTCGATCTCCTGACCTCGTGATCCGCCCGCCTCGGCCTCCCAAAGTGCTGGGATTACAGGCGTGAGCCACCGCGCTGGGCCAGATTATCGCTTTTTAATTTTTAAATCTGTAGCATTTATTTATTCACTGAAAGTAAATACCAAATGTACTGGGGCAAATTGTATGTAGAAATATTATTTTTCCAGGTGTGACCCTATGATTCTTCTCAGCCAAAATCTTTGTAAAATTATGGCACAACTAGCATAACTGTGGTTGTAATACTTATTTGAATTAAATGTTTTTCTTGTCTAACCTCCATATTTCATTGAGTATGTCCTTCTGCACACATCTTCATCCGTCTTTATGATTCAAACTTTTCTAGCAGAAATTACTTTTTATTTTCTCTGCAGAACATGTGGGGTTGGGTGGCTGATGAATAGTAACCTGGCAAATTCCTCTGCCTGGAAAAATATCATCCAACTGATGGGTGTGTGGTTGCAAAAGCGAGCTTTATAACTATTAGCTGAGCAACTCGGGATCATATTAAGGTAAAATTCATAAGGTGTATATCTTCTAATAAAATACTATCATTTAAAAAATGCTATTTATTCCATTAGAGATGCAGTTTTTGCTTTTGTTTTGAGACGGAGTCTCGCTCTGTCACCCAGGCTGGAGTGCAGTGGCGCGATCTCTGCTCACTGCAAGCTCCACCTCCCGGGTTCATGCCATTCTCCTGCCTCAGCCTCCCCAGTAGCTGGGACTACAGGCGCCTGCCACCACGCCTGGCTAATTTTTTTTTTCTGTATTTTTAGTAGAGACGGGGTTTCACCATGTTAGCCAGGATGAAGTTGATCTCCTGATCTCGTGATCCGCCAGCCTCAGCCGCATTACAGGTGTGAGCCACCACGCCCGGCCAAGATGAAGTTTTCTAATCCTCATAGTAATTATGACTATTTCATTCCCTCTCGAAAGATAACAACAACAAAAAAGAGAACGGAATGCCTTTTTCCAGCTGTCTACATTTGCTTTCTTCAACTTTGAAAACAGGCAAGCTAAAGTGACCTAGGATGGCCCTTACCTGTCTGTGATGCCGCAGGAGTCTATCTGGAGGTCCCTGAAACTCCCCAGCGCCCCCTGCTGTACTAAGATGGGATCCACCGCTTTGTCACCAATGGTGATGAGCCTTAGGCAGCCCTGAAACCCTCCCAGGGGGCTTTTACATCCAGAGCCAGAGCTGTTGCCCAGGCAGCCTGAATATGAAGACAAAAATAGGACAAAAGCAACAACTATGACAAAACTATTCCACAGTATTTACTATATGAAGACTGCTGCTCCCGCTTGTTTATGGACATCGGTATGATGCGATGAGCTTCACCATTCATTAGAGAGGTGAGAAGGGGCAAGGTTAGAACTGATCAAATTTAAGATAATACCTGGAATTCAGAATAAGAAATTACGGGGGAAAATTCAGATCTAAAATTCCTATAACAGGAATTATTTCCCAACCAAGTGAAAAGAGGTTTGGCTTCTTTTGTGAAATCTCATCTAAGAAATAAGCATGCATTTTAGCATTATGTAGTATAAGTGAAAAAAATTAAAGTGGAGGTTAAATTAAAATAAATGAAATCATAGCCCAAATTTTATTTAGGATATGCTGTGAAGTGTGAAAAATGCTACCTGAAAATATAATTGTGTACTACCATTTATCTAAAATATGTTAAATATCTACCCTATAGGTGTTTTTGTGTGTTGCGATGTATGTATATTTGGGAGTATTTAAAAACGTATTTTTTTATACTGACTGGGTGGAAATACCTAGATTTGCTTTTCTAGTAACACTTTCTTTGGTATTAGGTACTTTAGTCAAATATATAACTAAAGATTAAATTCTAATGTTAACAACAACACAAAAAGTAACAGGACATAACACACTGTTAGGGTACATAAGGATAAAAATTTGCAGTCCAGAATGTTCTATGAATAGAAAGAGATAAAATAGACATTTATTTCCAATAGTAGAAGTTAAATATTAAAAGTTTCACTACAATCGTCAGCTAATTTCACCTAAATTACAAATGACAATGCTTATGACATCACTTCCCTTTACTATGTGGGCTTGTTTTGTGAAACAAGAACAGTACTTATAAGAAGCAGTGGTGAGTGCCTGACTTTGACGTAAGCAGTATTACTCCACACCAGTCCAAGCATATAGGAAAGTAGTGTCTTGAACTTACTCCCACCCTCTTGAGTTACAATATATAACCTAATAATGGAACTCTAAGTTTGAAAAGTAAGGAAAAGGATGAGAGTACACACTCTAGTTAAAGAAAACACAATAATTGTAAAATCTTTTTATTTAAAGACAACTGTTTGTAGAAAGAGTCATATTAATTCAGAATAAAATCATAAGGCATTTGTCTAAGTCAGGAGTCTGCAAAGGTTTTCTGTAAAACGCAGATAGTAAACACTTTTGGTTTTGTGGGTCACACCTGGTCTCTGTTGCATGTCCTTCTTGTTATAACCCTTTAAAAATACAAAGCAGGGCTGGGCGCGGTGGCTCACGCCTGTAAACCCAGCACTTTGGGAGGCCAAGGCGGGCGGATCATGAGAACCGTGAGGAGAGATTTTACCCTACTTGCAAGCTAACAAATGAGTCTGCCAGTTTGTTTCATCGTTGCGGCAGAAGACTCCTGGGTCAAAGCAAAGGACTGTATTACTTACAGCATAGCAAACAATATGAGCATCAGCATATTTGCATCAATTCCCTTGCCTCCAAGTCCTCTGGGGGAATATGGATGGGCACAGATGGATGTGTGCACACGCAGTGGGTTACATGACAAGTGAGGAGCCCTGAGCTTAGGGAATTCAAAGTTTTCTACAGGCAGCAGGCATTGCTTGCCCTTTGGCAACACTGCTGAAATAAATCTCTTATAGTTCAAGATGTATTGATAAGCATGTTAAGCTTATTTTTATACATGAAGAACAACAAATTGTTATTTTCTATGGTTATTCACAGTATCTCAAAATCTATGTGATATTTTACTAGCTTAGTTTTATTATAATTTTAAAAGACCATTTGGGTTCCTTTGTTAGTGGACAAGAATAAAAAGAGATAAATTAGTTACTTTCTTAAAGCTAAGCAACATCATTTTCTATTGAGGAACCCAAAACTTTCCTAACTTTTACAAATGTTTGTAAATTGTAGGTTCTGTGACAGCCTGTGCTATAAAATTTCATAAGCTTATAAGAGCTTTCTTAACACAGCTGTGGACTTTTCTCCTGGTGTTGTACAGCAGTTCAAATTAGCTCAAGAATCATAAACCCTATATTTGAACAGCTATATAATATTATATATTTATTTTCCCATTTGATGTTGCATTACTTTTTCTACCAACCTTCTTACAATAAATTCATAAATATCTTAATTATAGCAAATGTGAAGTTCTTAAAGATGAGAATCATCAAACATATTTCTATTACAGAGATATATTCTTCAAAAAGTCATCTAAAATAGAAACCCAACTGGGAGACACCTTAAAAGTTTATCTGCCACAACAGAAGCTTTGCTTAAAATACTGTTCTCTTTGTATTTGTGTTAATAATTGATTTGTCTTTGAAATTAAATTAGGAATCTACTATATCTAGTGGTCTTGAAATCAAAGCCCCCTCCCCATTCCTTATCTTCACTGCTGTGTTCAAAAAGACTAGACTCCAGGGACGTGTCCAAAGCTGGGTTAAATATAGGATGTCTGAGAGACACCCTTCTTTCATAGTTCGAGGGTAAGCATGTAGCTGTATGTGCATGGAGGGGCGGGTGGAGGAGGTTAGCTGTATCAGGGTAGGCATAATACTATATTTTAAATCCCTCCTTCTGTTATAAATGTAAGCTGAAAATAGTCTCTGCTCCCAGCGGCAGCAATCGTAAACTCGCTTAGTTCTGCCTGTAATTTAATTTAACATGTGACATTGAGACAATCTTTCTTTTAATTCACATATAACTTCTTCCTCACCCACATTCCAGCCAAATAAACACATACTTGTAGAAAAATGTGACTGTTTTCCTGGGCATCCCAACAATTCAACTGTCCCTAAAACACCAGGTTCAATTTAAACTCTATTAGCTTGTCTGAGGGCTAAGATATCTAAAAATCCAAGACAAATTATCATTTGCATATATGGAGGCAGCTCTGATTGAACAGATATCTAAAACGGTTAGGTAATATTTTAGATCAAATCACTCCATCAAGTCAAAGACTAATTCAACTGTTTGTTCAGTTTCCAAAGGAATCCTTCCATTTTGGTCTAGTGTTCCATAAACATTGACTTTACATGAAAAGGACAGTGAAGAGATCTCTTGAACCGGCCAGAAAGTTGAAGCTCAAGGTTGTAGAAGATTTGAGCTACCAAGTCCAAGCCTTCTAAAAGATTCCCAATATGTATATATATATCATTTTCTTAACTCTACATTTGCCTGAGAAACAATGACATTCAATAAACTTTTTTCCATGGGATTTAGTTACAAAATAAGTCAAGGAACTACAAGTTATATATTTCCTGGAAAAATATACTATTATACATATATATTATATATTCAAAACTCCATAAAGCATATAAAGTATAAGCATATACTGAGTTATAAGGCATAACTCAACATGTTATTTTAACCTAAAATTTTCTTAGGCCCTCAATTGCAAATGCTGTAATTGCCAATGGTTCATAAACACATCTGTGAATTAGAAGCAAGTAATATCCTCTGTTTTTATACTCTCAAAAAATGTGATTATACTTAATTAAAAGTAATTCAAACCACAGCCCAGGCAATACATACTAGACCATGTCTTCTTGGTAATTTAATTCTTAGCAATAATTTTAATTGCTGCCTTATTAAGTAGGTATGCTACTTAAATTACAATCCTGTAGTTACAAGGTTAAAACTATTTTAAAATCTCAAATGTTTTCAGATTTCAATCACTCTTCGTATTATTACAACAAAAATGTTCATTAACTGGAACACATGCAGTATCATTTTTTAGCCCCCACTTTATGATATTTTTTAATATTTATTACCAGAGTAGTCATTTCATTATAAAATTTTAACCAAGCTAAGCATATACTCCGTTTTTTAGAAAACTAGATTTACTGTAGTCGTGTTAAGGCTATCATAGTAAGCAATGAATTTCACACTTGTCTTTTATACAGTACCACAACACGTCAAGCAGATATATGAAATCCTTGACAAAAGACATTTAAAACAAACAATTCCATGCTTTATATGTCAAGTGGAAAAGGAATATTTTTTCTACAGTGACAGAGCAGACTTGACATGTGCACAATCATGTAAAACCAAGCGTTTGCAAATGCTCTTACAACGTGGAGCAACCGGGCCTAGGGACAAGCAACCTTTCAGCTAAGAGTCTCGTCAAAGGTGCGGAAGCCCATTACAGAAGACCAGATAACAGTCAGTCTGACGGGTTCATTCAGATATTCAAGCTTTAAAAAGTACTTCGAAGACTGATACAGATGTCCTAGGCAATAAACGTCCCAAAAAGAATGGGGAACAATCCCAGTGCCAATTACATCTTTGTCATTCAGAAATCCAGGCTAATTTGATTTAGAGACATACATAAACGAACTGTTATTTCTCATAATTGTTTTTTTTCAGCCTCTTTATTTTTAATCTACATCTCTTAGGTAAAATGCATCAATTTAACTACATTTACTTATTCTGAGTTTTTCTATTGGTCCATGTTTCCTTTAAACACAATTTTGAATGGTTTTTTAAAGTAACCATTTGATTTTGAAACCAATTTACAGAAAACATGGAAGAACTATGCTAATATGCTGTATCACCCCTGAATACTTCAATGTACATTTCCTACAACAAAGATGTTCTCCTATATAACCATAATATGATCATCACAGTCATCATGGATAAAGTTCCAATATTTAATCCCCAATCTTGTTCAAGTTTCACCAATTTCCAATCATGTCCTTTATAACATAAGCATTTAATGCAGAATAGTATTTAGTTGCCTTGTCTTCTTAGCCTCTGTCAATCATTCCAATGCCTCTTTCCTCACTCCACTCAACCTCTGACAACTTGCTATAGGTCACCACCAGTGCTGTCTCCTGTCTCTCCAGGTCCCCACCCTTGCTACACTGTGGATGCTTTCCTTACCCTGCTGGTTTCTGAATGCTCTGCCACGGTCCTGGGCCTCCCCACTACCCAGCATGGATGCCTAAGCTGAACTGAATGACCTTGGACTGAATTGTTCAAAAAGAGAAGGGGAGAGGAAGAGGAAGAAGAATGCCAAGTAATTTGATTTTTCTTTTTTCATGACCAAACCAATGTCTTGGAATTGATTATCATTTCCATGGGCTACTTATGCTCCGTACTGTTTGTGTAGAGTTTGGTGAAAATGAATAAAGGCAACTGAACTACATTTTTTGGGGTTTTTTTGTTATTTTTTTGAGACAGAGTGTCACTCTGTCACCCAGGCTGGAGTGCAGTGGCACGATCTCAGCTCACTGCCTCCTCACAGGCACCTGCCACCATGCCCTGAAATTTTTTCATATTTTTAGTAGAGACGGGGTTTCACCGTGTTGTCCAGGCTGGTTTCAAACTCCAGACCTCAAGTGATCCACCCACCTCACCCTCCCAAAGTGCTGGGATTACAGGTGTGAGCCACCGCGCCCGGCCTGAACTCCATTTTTTATAGAGTACCATTTGACACTAAAATTAAGAGTCTGTTACTCATCTGCAGAATCTCTCTTTAAATGGTATTACTAAAAGGTCCAAAATGAAACATCTGTAAAAATAATTATTCCTACACTCTGTGAGATCTCTTTCCTGACACATTTCACATCTAAGTGAGTTTCCTAACTAACCCACACACACTCTATAGTAGGCTTACCCGTCTTTCCCCAGGCTGGCTGGCGAACTTGCAAAACATAACCATTTAGGGGAAAAAATTGAGGCAATTAAAATTAAAAGTGTTTTAGGCTAAGTAATGAATAAATTAACCCACTGAAAAGTTACATCAAAGGCTATTCTCAGCATTTTACCAATTACAGGAATTTCTGCAAAATCTGCCCAGCCATTTGTTTGTGTATCCCTGGGATCAGTGCCCAGAGTTCAATCTTTCTCTTGATGCTTCCTGCTGTTTTCAGGGACTCAATGAGAGCAGTAAGTGACCTTTCACTCACTGCAAGTCTATGGGCACTGAAGTTAGGAAAATATTTCCCTTCATGCAGAATCTTCCTAACAAAGCTTTCCATGTATTTGTCGGGTCAAATAACATTCAGATAAACTGCACATAATCCCCACAATGCCAAATGTTTAGAGAGCTTTTTTTTTTTTTTTTTGAGACGGAGTTTTGTGTTTTGCTCTTGTTGCCCAGGCTGGAGTGTTATGGTGGGATCTCGGCTCACTGCAACCTCCATCTCCCAGGTTCAAGCGATTCTCCTGCCTCAGCCTCCCGAGCAGCTGGAATTACAGATGCCTGCCACCACGCCCGGCTAATTTTTGTATTTTTAGTAGAGACAGGGTTTCACCATGGTGGCCAAGCTGGTCTCGAACTCCTGACCTCAGGTGATCCACCCACCTCGGCCTCCCAAAGTGCTGGGATTACAGACGCGAGCCACTGTGCCCGGCCTATAGAGCTCTTCCCATGAAGAGCCATTTCATGCCATCATCAACAGGCTGCCTTCGTGGGTGGCCAACGTGCTTCTCGAAAACCAGCTGTGAATAACGTGAGCAACTCATGGTGTCTACATGAGAAGGAAACTTTTAGATGTCCTTATTGACTTTCTTCTTGGTATTGAAGGTGGTATAATTATTACAGTTACATAGTTTTATCTGGAAGAATTACTTGATCTAAAAGGTAATTTAAAATTAGTAAAATTTATTAGATATGAGGATACTAAGTTTCATCAACGAAAGAAGACTGAAAACACCCACAGTAGTAGTATTGAAATTTTACGTGTCACTCAGCAACTCGCGAGAGTCCCGTCTGGTGCTGAGTCCATTTGGAATATCTGTCCCTGCCCTCCCCTCCTCCAAAAAGAATGTTCACTATAAACGAGAAGAGCTTAATTTCTATGGGCTTTGTAATCCTTCCACTGGATTCCAAGCAAAATAACTATCAATACAACTAATCCTGAGAATAAAAAGTAATCACAACTATGCAACAAAAACAGGAAAGGTGGTGGCAGGGTCTCACTCAGATTTCATTGCTTTGCTTTTCTCCAGGAAGGTCTTTTTGAAGCCCTGTTTATTCAATAGTAAGAGTGACCTCTAGTGACTTTTTTTGTTGTTGTATTTTGCCAGTTGATTGGTCAATTACTCTAGCATGCCTTTCTATAAGTAACTCATTTATATGTTTATTTAAGCCAAACGGCAGTTTCCATTACAAGACCCAAGGATTTTGATTTAAGTAACAACGTTTTATTCACAAAGGCTTCTCACAAAAGCAGATTAAAGTTGAATCTGAAACACGGTACAGCATCTGACCAAAGGAATCCGGAGCTTGTTTTTTGGAAGGGCACACCAAGTGTAGGATTAACTGAGGCGCAACTGAATCATGATGCACAGTGAGTTCATGAACCCATGTGCGTGCCCTGTGTGTGAAGAACCAACCCACCCTTGAGCCCGCGGGCAGAACAGCACTGAGCTACGGCAAACTTTTCATGACAGTTTAGGAGAACTGCTGAAAGCTACCCTTGGTTATCCTGCAATAATCTAAATTTCCAAACATGGCCACTGGCGTTTATTGGAACTTATTTCGAAAGAGATTTTGGTAGGAGAGGGCTGAGGCTGACAGCGGGGAGATGCCACTGAAAGAAAAATAAAAGTGATTTGAGAAGGAAGAGGAAGACATTTTAAAAATTCTAATCTCATGGTTTGATTAATCAAGAAAGAAAGCTCTCTGATAGAGATTTACTCCAAGCCAAAAAAAAATGTGCAATGTTGTGTAAACATTTTTATGTGTGATAAAATATGGGTACATTATGTTTTGCTCATCGGTCTGGAATATCATCATTACATTAGAATCATAGCCCATTCTAGAAATAAAGGCTTCCTAGGTGTTTACCAAATTAAGGAAAATAAAAAACAGGGAACCTGATGGCAAATTAAATAATGTAAAATATTAGCATCCAGAGAGGAATCATTTTCAAGATTACCTAAATGACTGGCTGAGTTTTGTCTTTAAGCAAGAACTTTCTACTATGAGAAACGAAGCCCCTGACAGGGGTGTTCAAGTGTTATTCCCTTAGTAGTTAGGGCAGGTTATTAATTTAGTTTCGCCTACAGGCGCTCTGTCCCTATACTGCATGGAAGTTAATTAGCATTTTAACTCTGAAGCTGCCAAGGTCGGCAAAACTGTAAGCTGCTAACATCTAAGTTGATGCAGTATGATGTAATGTCTGCCAGTTTTTTCCCTGTTAGACTTAATTCCTACAAAATATTACAATCCTAAAAAGGAATAAATGACAGCATTTGCAGGCTAATCTCTTATTAAGATGCTCTTTTCAGGTTTTACAGAAACGTCCACTTTCTCAATGAATATTCAAGTACATCGATTAAAAATTCAAAACATGCATGGTATATCTTAGACTCCCCCACAAGAGGAAAGTCTATTGTAAACAAAATCGTCTTTTTCGGGTTGCAATTCCAAATATTTTTTTAAGGTACTTCATGTTCAGGAGCATGTTCTGCAATTCCACTTCCAAATATTACCGATAATAAAAAAAAAAAAAAAAACAAAGTTTTCCAGACAGCCTAGCGCAAGTTTTAAACCATTTGCTGTACTTATGTGGATTTCCTGCTCCCAAGGGGCTCCAAGTCTGAGTGGGGAGAAGCAGCAGCACCTTGAGGACGGCCCAGGCCACTGAAGCCATGCTCACTTCAGCCAGGCGCCCTGAGACCCGGGCACGGCGACGGCTGCTCTGCGTCGCTCCTGCTCTCACTCCCGTCCCCTGCGCGGCTCTGACGCTGCTCTGTCTCCCCTGTCCAGTCTCTAGCTCTCTTCCTCACGCACTAGCAGCCTCCCTCGGCGCTGCAGACCCTCCCGCCAAGCCGCGCCCGGCCCCAGCTGCGTCTCCGAGGTCGGCCCCGCGGACTCGCACCGCAGCTTTCTGGAGCGCTCGGGGCCGCGCGGCGCCGCCCCAGGCACGGAGGCGGCAGGTTCAGGCGCGTCCCGGACACTAGGCGCGGGAGGCGGCCGGCAGCAACGCGAGTCAAGAAGCGAGCGGGAGGGACGCCCCAGCTCCGCCTGGCGCTCTCCTCCCGTTATACCGGCAGCTTCCTCCGTCCCTCTCTCCCACCGGGGCGGGGCGGCCGTGGTGCACGGACTCGCTCCGAAGACCGCGCCGTCAGCCTCCGCCTGCAGGTGGAGAACGCCAGGCTTTATCACTCCGCTGTTCACCCAACGCAGGGGCTGCACCCAGGAAAATCCTGTCCTGTTTGAGTTCAAATAGGGAAGATGGGGCAGAAATAACTCTGCGGCGTGTACTCGGGCAGACGCGCGCACACTTTGATTTTGCTAGGAATTCTGACTTGTAGAGAACCAAGCTGGGAAACCGGGCCAGGAGCAGGGAGAGGCCGGTGAGCCTGGGTTGTGCGAGTGCAAGCCTTTATTTAAAGTTTTAATATTTTGTCTATCATGGGTTTTTTTTTTCTTTGCGATTACATTCAATTTTAAAACTATTTCATTCATTCAGGATTAGCGTTACTTAACAGTTGCTCCTGAGACTAGTGCGTTAGTCCCTTCACCCTAGTCCTGGCCTTGGTGGATGTCTAAAATTTACGTTTTATTCCAGCTTTCTGTCCAAAAGAGCAACCCCTGCAAGTGTAGGATGAGGAGCTCAGTCCAGCAGCAGCTAACACTGCACTCCTTGCGCGCCTGCTGTGTGCTAGAGGGAGGGGCGGAGGCGGGAGGCGGGAGGCAGGGGGCGGGGGGGTCTTTCTCTTTTTCTCTTCCTCTGCTTCTCAAATTCACAGTAGGGGCAAAGATTGACAAACTCACTCACATTACCACCACCGCGAGTTTCCAAAAAAGAAAAAAGAAAGAAAGATACTAACTTTTTTAGATGGTATCTCTAAGAAATAGTGTATTAATCTTCCCTTTGGAAAGACAACTTTGAAAGGCTTTTTCATTAAAATGAATTCAAATGTAATAGATGTAAAATGTAAAATGTAAAATGAATTCAAATGTAATAGATGAAGAATCTTACAAAGTCATTCTTGAATTATTAATTGGGTTCACTTAAACTACTTTTGCACAAGAACTCTGTAAATAGCACGTCTTTTATTACAGAAAAAATTATAAATCTTATAAATCTAAAGTTTTGATTGACAGATCAGTTGCCTTCAGTGAGACAGAAAGAGAGAAAATGGAAATCATCTTCTAAATTGGACCTAGAGTAAAACAACAAATGTCAATCTATTATTATACCAATTTGTCAGGCATCAGATGGAGTCTTTAAAAATGTGAACTTGGCCGGGTGCGGTGGCTCATGCCTGTAATCTCAGCACTTTGGGAGGCCGAGGAGGCCAAGAGGTCAGGAGATGGAGCCCATCCTGGCCAACACGGTGAAACCCTGTCTCTATTAAAATACAAAAAATTAACCGGGCGTGGTGGTGCCTGCCTGTAGTCCCAGCTACTCGGGAGGCTGAGGCAGGAGAATCTCTTGAACCCGGGAGGCAGAGGTTGCAGCAAGCCAACATTGCGCCCTGCACTCCAGCTTGGCGACAGAGCCAGACTCCGTCTCAAGACAAAAAAAAAAAAAGTGAACTTGGGTGTTCAAAGTGTTAGGCTTAATGGAGAAAAGCCAAGAAACTTCTACGGTGGTAGACATTTGCAATTAAAACAAAATGGCTTCATTAAACTGTAAAATCACTAGCGTAGTGAGGGTGCATGCATTTTTTACAACATTGGAGGAATATATTTATGAATATTATTCCCAATACATAAAATATACATTTTACACACTTATAGGTACACTCAAAATTTGTTCCAAATTGTTCATGTCTAGTAAACGTATATACACTATTTTATATGGTTAAGCCAATAAGCATCATCATTTTCTTCTAAGACAGGAGGCTTGTAATTGTTTTGATTCCCCTGCTTTTGACTTAAAACTTATTTAGGTTTATTCTACTTAAGTTGTTTGGTTAGGGGACTTGAAGTCCTTAGACATAAATGTGTGTCTTGAAATGCATTTTATGTGGCTATAATTGCTGCTATATGGTTATTATTTAAATCAGCATAGACACTTGCTGTGGTGATAATGCTGGCAATGAACTTTGCAGACTAAGAGTAGTGAGGCTCTAAAAATTACTTTGCCTAGTAGAGAAGCATCCGTCACAATCATCACACACTACACACTTACTGAACAAATGAAGGCATGAATTCGAGATGGCCGATGTAACTAGAACACTGGATGTCCCAGAAAAAATATCGAATATCACAAATATAAATGTTTTATGTGTTGCTGCTTTATTTCCTTTCTTCCCTACTTTCCATGATAATGCAATTTAAACTTTGAAACTTCTTACCTTCTATTTAACCTTAACATGGATAATAAATACAATTATATTTTTTATTTCAATCTGGATAATGGTTGTATGATTCAACCAGAATAAGAAAGGAATAAGATCTACTTTGCAGTAGCACATATTTAGGAAGTGAGTATATTTATATTGGAACAAATGATGATACTGAGGTGTGTTTGATGACTAGCTTCTGGATTATAAGAATGTAAATGTTTGTTAAGACAGACTCTTTTGAAATTTGTTCTTGAATATTTTGAATTACAAAAGGAACATTTTTAAAAGAATTGTATAAAGAAAATGTTAATAATTGCCACTACCATCACCCCAACCCCACTGAGGTAACCAATGATACATAACAGGCTGACAGGCTGGTATGTATCCTTATGTATCCTTGTTTTGGCTCTTCTTCTTCTTCTTTTTTTTTTTTTTGAGACAGAGTCTCGCTCTGTCGCCTAGACTGGAGTGCAGTAGTGGTGTGATCTTCGCTCACTGCAACCTCTGCCTCCCAGGTTCAAGCAATTCTTGTGCCTCAGCCTCCTGAGAAGCTGGGAGAACAAGTGAGTGCCACCACACCCGGCTAAGTTTTTGTATTTTTGGTAGGGACAAGGTTTTTCCATGTTGCCCAGGCTGGTCTCGAACTTCCTGAGCTCAAGTGATCCACCCGCCTTGGCCTCCCAAAGTCTTGAGATTACAGGCGTGAGCCATCACACCCGGCCTTGGCTCTTATATATAAACACATACAACCTGTACATAGAGTTGTGCTTATTTTGTTTCAATAAGGTTTTACCTTGTACTTTATACTCTCATCCTGCAATTTTATCGTCTCTCTTTGTAGTATACCGTGTGCATTGCAGTCTAAGCTAGAACTTAGTTTTCAGTTCTAGAAAATAGAGTGAGAATACAAAAATATAACATTTGCCTGCCAATCTAATAGCATTTTAATTCCTAAATAGATCTACTTTCACAAATATGCTACTTCTCAAAGAATTATTTTTCTTATGATATTTTTCTAAGCAATGCAATGTGATATTAGTCAGATTTTTAAAATGCACTACTGCATTAGTCAAGGCCCAGAAAGAAAGCATGATTTGCTCAGATAGTTTAAAGGAACAGGCTGTAAAGAAAAGTGAAGGGACCCACCAGGTGACGTTGTGGCAACCAAAGACAAGCACTAGCAGAAAGCCTTTACTACCTACAGCAGAGGCGCAGAGGGAGGAACGGTTGCTGCCAGATCCCCAGAAGGCAGCAGCCGGGGAACACAAAGGTCTGGCAGGAGCCACAGTCATAGAAGTAAAAGAATTTTCTTGTCAGAACCTGGAAACAGGAGTGAGTAGGGAAGAAACTTTTTGAGCTCTGACTTCTGAAACCTTACTGTTTCTGTGGGTGTCTCTCATTAGCCAAAACCAACTGGAAGTCAGCTGGGAGGGGAGCAGGGTGACACTCGGGCAGGAAGGGTGACACTCGGGCAGGAAGGGTGACACTGGGGCTGGAAGGGTAGAGGGTGGTTCTGAGGACCTCCACAAAGAATGGCCAGCACATCCTAGAACACTGACACTTACCAAATTTTAAAAAAAAAGTTTATTTTTGTTTTGTGCATTCATGTTCTTTAATGAATGATTTATCAAGTAATGGCTTGGAATAGAAATCTAAAGCTTTCATTTTTTAAATTATGAACCGAAGTAATCGTACTTGCTAGAAATTAAACCAGAGCTTTGAGATCAAATAGTTTACTCTTTCTTCTGTTTATATTAACAGGGAAGATTAATTGTGCCGAATATCGTAGTTTTGAATGGAGCTTTTTATTAACTTCAACATCAGGAAATCACCAGAGTCCACCTACCTTTCCTTATTTTTCACAGAAATAGAAAGATTGATGTTCTCATAGAGCAAAAAAGATGAGGTCTCACTTCTTGTGGCCTTCTGACATCCATCAATATTTTAGGAAAACAATTCTCACATTTCAGGGCCAATTGAGAATTAAGTTGAGCTCAAATACAAAGGGAAATATTTTTTATTAAAACTTTTTTTGTGTGAAATGAATTATAAATTTTATAAATTTTTTTGTGAAATGAATCAGCTAGCCTAAAATTTAATCCTTCCAAACTACAGTAGGTTAAAAAAAACAAGTGAATGGTAAACAATTTGAAATTTTCTTTCCAGTTTCTTATCACTGGCTAATTGGGAAGAATTGAAAAGTCAGAAGAGGAGAAAATTATAATCAATGCCTACTCCATTAAAAAATTGCTTAACTGTTTTATTGAAATTGATTCTATAGAGAGCCCCTGATTGCATATTTGATAAGGAACATTAATGCTAATACATGAAATACCCTATGTGCTCACGTATGAAAGAAACATTCTTGGCTGGGTGCGGTGGCTCATGCCTGTAATCCCAGAACTTTGGGAGGCCGAGGTGGGCAGATCACAAGGTCGGGAAATCGAGACCATCCTGGTTAACATGGTGAAACCTCATCTCCACTAAAAATACAAAAAATTAGCCGGATATAGTAGTGAGTGCCTGTAGTCCCAGCTACTTGGGAGGCTGAGGCAGGAGAATCGCTTGAACCCCGGAGGCGGAGCTTGTAGTGAGCCGAGATCACGCCACTGCACTCCAGCCTGGGTGAAAGAGCAAGACTCTGTCTCAAAAAAAAAAAAAAAAAAAAAAAGAAAGAAACAAAGAAAGCATTCTCCCAAATATTTTCGTTTATATAAAAAGATAAGTCTCACCCTAAATCTATGTTAAACTTATAGAAAGAACACGTAGTCACAGTTAGAATGTGATTTTAGGGGCTAGGAAATCAACCCCAGACTTCAGCAAATCAATGTTCTACCATTGAAGTGTGCTAATATTTAGTATGAAACCGCTTACGGATTTCAGATCTTTTCCTGAAAGCAAACTTTAATATAGCAGAAGTCATCTGGATTTGGGCTGGAGATGGGGAGAATGAGAGGAGGCAAGTACTATAAGGGGTGGAGTGTAGGGGTAGGAGAGAGTAAAGAAAGGCATTAATTAAATGTCAGAAGTGAATTTATTCATTTTGTAGTTTTATCTAAACTGAAAACTGATCCTTGCTTGAATGGCTTGATAGAGAATGCGTCTCTCATGGGGCAAGGATAAAGCTATAATTATAAAACTTCAAGCTTAAAATAATGGGACTCAATGTTTGGGGCATCTTTTTAACTCAGCTAATCTAAGGATATGAGAAAATACTGTTCCTATTTACGGAGCAAAAATTGGTAGATACGTGTTTGGGAGAATTTTTGATTTGCCAGCATTTGTGTTTCAGAACACTAAACAGCCTCATGGCAAGCCTGAATTTCTGAATATAATGAAGCAGAGACTGTTTTGTCTTGAGTAGATCCAGTTCGTGAAGGCTCAGGGGAACAGCATGCTTCATGCCTGCCAGCAGATGAGCTTCGAAGTGCCTTAAGGAAGCACTTTGACCAGAAGGTAGATAACTCTTATTATAGAAGAAGAAGGAGTGTGTAATTCATCTCCTACCGGTAAGAATAGTTATTGCTTTTGCAAACACTGTAAATGTGCAATCTAGAAGCTAGAAATAAGTACGCAGTTAGAAGGCAGTCTTTTTTTTCATATGTAGTGAAACTACTACACTTTCTGCAGTGGCAAATCTTAGCAGAGATTGTAAATCTAAGCAGAGAGGTATCCAGGATTGTGGTAGTCTACACTGAGTATGCCTACATGATGGTAGAGAAAAAAAAAATGAAGATTACATGCAGGATAGCTCCCTAAGAATATCAGATAAGAACTTCTGCAGAACAACTTGTTATGCACCTTCTGGTCCAAATTTTCAAAGAAACTGCTGCCGGGTATAAGGATACAAAAAAAGAGAGAGAGAAAGGGAGAAAACAAACAAACAAAAATGACCCTGAAGTGATAACATATTTGGCTGCACTTGTTATTTAGGAAAGTCTGTGACTCAGAAATGAGATGGTCTGGAGGGAGACTTTAGAAACAATAGCAAGACACGAAAGTTCTCTCGAAACCTTGGATCCCATTTTTCATAATAAACAGAATTATGTCTTTTTTGATTAGCTTGTGAAAATTATCTGAGAATAATTTATGAGAAGTTCCCACTGCTATAATATACTGAGTTCAATAAATTATTCATATTTTATTTTCATTAATTAAAATAAACCCAAATCCTATTAAGAACTTTTTCAAAGACTGATAACCATGACTACAAAATGCTTTGTTGTCACATTTCTTTTCATGCCATAAATTAAATAGACTTTTCTTTGTCTCTAAAGGCTATTTAAACATATTATGTTTCCCAGGAAAGGCTGCAGTTAAATGTTGGCATTTTGTCCTTATGTTCCTATAGTTTCCTGTTGTAGCAGTGTAGAATGAAGTTATGCCAGAATAATTTCCACATAAATATTGAATAAAGTGGACTTTTCATGGTTCAAAGAGTTTTGTGCCAATATGTTTCTTTTCTTAAGTGTTCAATGTAAATTTATGAAATTGTAATATTCTCTCATAAACACCTAAGTGTAGTTGCCATTAAATACAGATTCACATTCATGTTAGAACTGCTATTTTTTTGTTTCATATGATTTGTTCTTTATTTTTTTTTTTTTGAGAAGGAGGCTTGCTTTGTCACCCAGGCTGGAGTGCAGTGGCGCCATCTGGGCTCATTGCAAGCTCTGCCTCCCGGGTTCAGGCCATTCTCCTGCCTCAGCCTGCCGAGTAGCTGGGACTACGGGCGCCCGCCACCACGCCCGGCTAAGAGAGTGTGTGTGTGTGTGTGTGTGTGTGTGTGTGTGTGTGTGTGTGTGTGAGAGACTACAGGCGCCCGCCACCACGCCCGGCTGAGAGTGTGTGTGTGTGTGTGTGTGTGTGTGTGTGTGTGTGTGTGTGTGTATTTTTTTTTTGAGACGGAGTCTCGCTCTGTCATCCAGGCTGGAGTGCAGTGGTGCGATCTCAGCTCACTGCAAGCTCCGCCTCCCGGGTTCACGCCATTCTCCTGCCTCAGCGTCCAGAGTAGCTGGGACTACAAGCGCCCACCACCGCGCCCGGCCAATTTTTTTTTATTTTTAGTAGAGACGGGGTTTCACCGTAGCCAGGATGCTCTCGATCTCCTGACCTCGTGATCCGCCCACCTCGGCCTCCCAAAGTGTTGGGATTACAGGCGTGAGCCTCCACACCCTGCCGGCAAATAAATTTTAAAGCCCTACATTCTTGGGCAAATTTTACCCTTAAACAAAAATTCAGCCAATTGTACTAATCCAATAAAGAGCCATTTTAGGGAGCCTAAAGTTTTTTTATGAAAGCTCTAGTTGAATCACATATCAAAGTACTGGTCTATTAAGTTTCTTTTTTTCAGATATAAGTTAATTTTGATGTATTTTATTTGCTCTTTAAAAAATCACACTTTTGAGGCTGCGTGCAGTGGCTCATGCCTGTAATGCTGGCATTTTGGGAAGCCAAGGCAGGCGGATCACTTGAGGTTAGGAGTTCGAGACCAGACTGGCCAACATGGTGAAACCCCTTCTCCACAAAAAATACAAAAATTAGCCAGGCGTGTTGGTGCATGCCTGTAATCCCAGCTCCTTGGGAGGCTAGGGCATGAGAATCACTTGAACCCAGGAAGCAGGGGTTGCAGTGAGCCGAGATCGCACCACTGCACTCCAGCCTGGGCAGCAGAGTGAGACTTTCTCAAAAACAAACAAACAAAAAGTCACCATTTTGAATGCTTAGACACTACTGGTGGACATGTAAATTAGTTCAGTCAGTGTCAAAAGCAGTTTGGTGATTTCTCAAAGAACTCAAAACAGAATTACTATTCTACCCAGTAATGAGAATGGTAGACCTAGGCATGTGTATGTTCATTGCAGCACTATTCACAATAGCAAAGACATGGGATCAAGCTAAATGCCCATCAATGGTAGACTGAATAAAGAAAATGTGGTGCATAGGCCCGGCGCGGTGGCTCACGCCTGTAATCCCAGCACTCTGGGAGGTGGAGGCCGGTGGATCACGAGGTCAGGAGATGGGGACCATCCTGGCTAACACGGTGAAACCCCGTCTCAATTTAAAATACAAAAAATTAGCCAGGCGTGGTGGTGGGCGCCTGTAGTCCCAGCTACTCGGAAGGCTGAGGCAGGAGAAGGGCGTGAACCCCAGAGGCGGAGTTTGCAGTGAGCCGAGATCGCACCACTGCACTCCAGCCCGGGTGACAGAGCAAGACTCCCGCTCGAAAAAAAAAAAAAGAAAGAAAGAAAATGTGGTGCATATACACCACAGAATATACTACACAACCATAAAAAAGAACGTGATCATGTCCTTTGCAGCAACATGGATGGAGCTGGAGGCCATTATACGAAGCAAACAAACACAGGAACAGGAAACCAAATGCCGCATGTTCTCACTTATGAGTGGGAGCAAAACACTGAGTACATATGGACACAAAGAAGGGAACAACAGGCACTGGGGCCTACTTGAGGGTAAAGGGAGGGAAGACGGTGACAACTGAGAAACTACCTATCTAGTACTGTGCTTATTACCTGGGTGGCAAAATAATGTGTACACCAAACCCCCATGATGTGTAATCTACCTAACAAATCAGCACATGTACCCCGAACCTAAAATAAAAGTTAAAAAATAATAACAATAATCACCCTTTAAACCTATCTTTCAACATTTAAAGTTTGCAAAGGCAAAGTTTTATTCACCTATGGAACATGTTTTACTAACTGAGCAACTCTGGGCAAGTACTCTCTTGGCCTCTTAAGTGGGGATAATAACAGGGCATGCCTCCAAATCTTCCTGTGAACATTAAGTGAATGGATACGTACTGGACACTCAGAAAAATGCTTGGGTTGTAGTGATATTTAAGTGCCATTATAATGGCAGCATTGTACAAACAGAAATTAAAAACTTCAAAGTACATGTGAAAAAATATTTTTAAAAAATCTAATCATTGTATGATATAACTAGAAATTTTATTTAAGTACTTAAAGTAAGAATATTTCTACTTAAAATTCTAGAAGCAGTGAAAAAAACATTAAAAAATGAAAATAAAGACATTTTTCAGACTTAGAAAACCTGAAATAATTCATCTCCAACATAGCCACTTTACAATAAATGTTAAAGAAAGTTTTTAGGCAGAAGAAAATTGAAAAACTGATACTAGATGCAAATATAAATGCATACAAAGGACTGTGGGACACTGGACATGGTAACTACATGAATAAAATTCTGGAATGTTTTTCTTATTATTTAAGTATTTTTAAAATATAATTGTCTAAGTAACAGTAATAACAATATAGCATGAGGTTTATAACACATGTAGAAGTCAAATTTATGGCAGTGATGGCACAATGCCTATGAGGAGAAAAATGGAAGTATGCTATTCAAAAATTTTATATGTGAAGTAATATACTATAACTTGAATATACACTGTGAAAAGTTAAAAATATATGCTACATACCCTAAACCAACCACTAAAATATGCCAACAAAGAGTAAAGGCTGATAAGCCAATCAAAGAGATAAGATGAAATTCTTAAAGAAATTCTCAATTATCCTTTAAAAAGGGCTAAAAAAGAGAAAAAGTAACAAAGCACAGAGGGAACAAATGAAAAACCATTTTAAGAAAATAAACTTAAATCTAACCATATTAATAATCACATTAGTATCAATTGCCCAAAAACTCTAATATTGACAGATTAGATTCAAAGAAAGCAAAAGCTAACAGTATTCTGCCTCCAAAAAAACATACTTTAAATGGAAAAACACAAGTAAAAAGACGAAAAAATATATAATAAACACTACCTCAAAGAAATCTGGAGTGACTATAGTAGTATCACACAAAGTAAATTTCAGTTGAATGGGTATTACTAGAGATAAAGTCATTTCAAAATAACAAAAGGGTCAGTTTGTCAAGAGAAATAAAAAACCTAAATGTTTATATAACAAGTCATGTACATTCAATATACATGAAGCAAAATATAAAGATTATAAGAAAAATAAACATTTTTCTTTCCACAATTACAGTTAGATTTTTGTTTGTTTGTTTGTTTTGAGACTGAGTTTCACTCTTGTTCCCCAGGCTGGAGTGCAATGGTGCAATCTCGCCTCACTGCAACCTCCGCCTCCCAGGTTCAAGCGATTCTCTTGCCTCAGCCTCCTGAGTAGCTGAGATTACAGGCACCCACCACCACGCCCAGCTAATTTTTTGTATTTTTGGTAGAGATGGGGTTTCACTATGTTGGCCGGGCTGGTCTTGAACTCCCGACCTCAGGTGATCCACCTACCTCAGCCACCCAAAGTGCTGGGATTACAGGCATGAGCCACCACGCCTGGCCTAGTCAGACATTTTTATACCCCTATATCAAAAACTTCTACAACAAGAAGACAAAAATTCAGTAAGAGTGTAAAAGATTTGACCAGCATTACCACTTGACCTAATTGACATGTATAGAAAATTTCAAATACCAACTGTCAGATACACATTTTTTTTAAATGTACACAGAATATTTACCTAGAAAAAAACATATGCTGGGGCATAAAATTAATCTCAGTGATGTCAGAAAAATGGCAGACTAGAAAACTTTAGAACTTTGTCCCCCATGGAAACATTAAAGAAAAAACTACAAATTGGTTAAACTGACATTTAAGAACTATGGAAAACAGCTCAAGGTTTACAGAAAACACATGAACATCCAAACAAAACGGAGCCACTTCCAAAGCAGTTGAAAATTGTGTGGCATTTTTACTTGGCTTTGCCACATCCCATCCCTGGAACTGCACAGAATGGTCTTAGGAAAGTGATAGCTGAGCTTCCAATTCCTTCCCTGGAACTGGAAGGGTAAACCAGACTTTATTTGAAATGTTCTAACCTGTCTGGGAGCTCCATGTTGGATTAGTCTCTGTTGTTTCTAACTCATAGGTCAGACAGCAAAGATCAGAACAGCTCAGATCTCAGGCTATGAAAACCAATGAGAGACAACAGACATAGCTCGTGAATGCTGCTGTGAGATGCATGATAGACCTGCAAATGCCTGGAGCATGAGATTACAGATAGAGGAATAAAATAGAATATTCTTGACTCTGAGAAGAAGCAGGGCTATGACCCCTAGGGAAATTAAGACATTTTCTAAAAGGCTGTATACACAAGGAAAAAATAAATAAAAGCACACACAGGCCCAGAGAAAATGAAGTCTGATAAAAGACCACAGAAGATGAAAGCCTTCAGACCAGGCTGATCTAAAGTCAAAGAACATGCCCTTCTAATTATTGAAGAGCTTTTCCTACACAGACTCAGTCTGCAAACATTGGGAGAGGAAATGCCTTTTTTTCTAAATGCCCCATTTTCCACAATAACAATAACAATAACAATAACAATAACAAATTACAAGGTGTTCAAAGAGACAAGAAAGCCATGGCCCAAGCAAAGAAGAAAATACAGCTGCAGAAACTGTCCCTGAAGAAACATTGACATTTGAAATACTAGACAAAGACTTTTAAACAACTATCTTATGCTCAAGGATCTAAAGAAAAACATAGACAAATAACTAAAAAGTGAAGAAAATAATATATGAACAAAAGGAGAATATCAACAAAGAGACAGAAATTATTTTAAAAGAACCAACAAGAAATTCTGGAGATGAAAAATATGGTAAGTGAATTGAAAAATTTATGAGACAGCTTTAACAGAAGACTTTAGCAGGCAGTGGAAAGAAGCAGCAAACAAAAAAAAAGATTATTTAAAAGTAGTGAGTCTAAGGACCAAAAAGGAAAAAAAAAAAAAAAAAGAAGTGAATAGAGTCTAAGGTATTTAAGAGTCATCATTGAGTAGTCCAATTATTCATTACAGAAGTTCCAGAAACAGAAGAGAGAAAGAAGGAGGCAGTGATTTATATGACAACATAAGTGTCAGAGGCGTTCAAACCAGAGCGACTCCATTTTGAGTGAGGGCTAGGAAAATGAGGCAGAGACTTGCTGGACTGCATTCTCAGAAAATTAGGCATTTTCCTAGCTTCTAGATGTTTATGAATCAGTGAACAAATTAATGATGCTTACTAAAACAGACCCAGACTTGGGAGTGTCCAGATATCTCAATATCTGGAGAATAAGGGCATTCCTAATTTTGCATTAAAGATAATAATATTGATTCTTGCAAAATATGGTAATTAAGAAAATTAATCCTTTATCAAAAACTCTTGTAGGAGAGCACATCTCCCCATATATGCAACCATCGTACCTAGGATGGATGTGTTCTTCCTCTCACTTTCAGGAATGTCCTACTCTGTCTATGGAGTAGCTGTTCTTTCACCACTTGCTTTTACTTTGCACTGTGGACTCGCCCTGAATTCTTTATCGTGTAAGCTCTAAGAACCCTCTCTTGGGGTCTGTATCGGGACTCCTTTCTGGTAACATAAGGATCAAAAATTTCCCAAATTTTTAAGACATGTATATGCAAATCCAAGAATCTCAATGAACACCAAGTATGATAAAACAAAAGGAGTGTAGGCAGAGGAACAAAATTGTCAACTGGAAATTTTATAATTAGCAAAACTGTCCTTCAAACATGAGAGGAAAACCTTCTGGTTCTAAACCAGTATGTAAGGAGCTTGATAGTCATACTTTATCCTAACAACTAGTAAAAAGTTGAACAAACAAAAAACTCAACACCTCTTCTCAGATCTGTCATGGAAATGAGATCAGAGAGCAAACCAAGGACCCCCAAATTGGAGAGACAGACAGGCAGATACATAGAAGCAAAACTTAACTCATGCAGAAATGATGAGCAGAAATCTCCATAAGACCCAGTGCTGGGTTGGGCATAGTGGCTCACGCCTGTAATCCCAGCACTTTGGGAGGCCAAGGTGGGCAGATCACCTGAGGTCAGGAGTTCAAGACCAGCCTGGCCAACACGGTGAAACCCCATCTCTACTAAAAATACCAAAATTAGCTGGGCATGTTGGCGGGAACCTGTAATCCCAGCTATTCAAGAGGCTGAAGCAGGAGAATTGCTTAAAGCCGGGAGGTGGAGATTGCAGTGAGGCAAGATCATGTCATTGTACTCCAGCTTGTGCAACAGAGCAAAACTCCACCAAAGAAAAAACAAAAAACAAAAAAACACACACAAAAAAATCACCAGTGCTGAAGTAGAAAAACCTGAAACTGTAATTAACAAATTGCTGGAGCTCAATGTGAACAACTCTGAAAGTTAAAAACTTCAAGTGGGTACACTCATTGAAGGTCTCCATACTTTTGTGAATTATGCCTCCAGAAACTCTACTAGGTTCTCAGTGAATGTTGGAAAAAATGTCCTCATGCTTCTGGCAGGAGGAAGGGGAAAGGAACCATTTGGAAACATGCTGGAGTATTCAGTTCTTTTTCACAAGACCTGCACCAGGAGAAACTATTTTACTAGGGCCTAATCTGCTGGGGTTTTATCAGAGCCTACTATATGTGACAGAAGGAAAATACTCAACTGGCTGTAGCCTTCCACATGCACAAAAGGGAATAAATAACTCCATCTCCTTCTGGCCTTTCATGTGGGGGAAGAGAAACACTCAACTACAATCCCTTTTAGATTTCCACATGGAAAAAGGGAAATATACAACTTCGTCCTCCCTTCAGCCATTATGTCTCATCTAAAGTCGGGGAGGAACTGAGAAGCACTGATGAAGTTCACAGTCAAGGGGCACAGTCTCACCAAAAGACTGAGCCGTAATCATAGGACTATAGAATGCTCCCCTTCCCCTTACACTCTATCACTACATTACTAAAGGCCTATTTACTATAGCTGCTTTTACTTAGTACATTGTGTTCACTTTTCAACAAAAAAAAATTCCAAGATAGACTGAAATGCAAAGAAAAAAACGGTTTGAAAAGTATGAACAAGCATCATAAGCAGAGTCAAGTATGGCAGGAATGTTGGAATTATCAAAGCAGATATTTTAAATAATTGTGATTAATGTGCTAAGGACTCTAGTAAACAGACAACATGCAAGAACAGATGAATTATGTAAACAGAGAGATGGGGATACAAAGAAAAAAATCAAAAAAGAAGTGCTGGAGATCAAAGACATTGTAATAGACATAAAGAAGGGCTTTGATGGGCTCATTAATAGACTGGACATAGCCAGAAAAGAATCTTTGAGTTTGATGATATGATAATAGAAATTTCCAAAACTAAAGAGCAAGGAAAAAAATTACTCAGTAAAAACAGAATAGAATATCAAAGAACAGTAACAAAACTACAAAAGGAGTTAATATATATATTGGGAATTTTAAAAGGACAGGAAAGAGAGAAAAAAATGGAAGCAATATTTGAAACAATAATGACTGAAAATTCCTTCCAAACTAGTGTCAGACACCAAACCAGAGATCAAGAAAGCTCAGAGTACACCAAACAGGATACATGAAAAGAAAAATTACACCTAGGCATTTCATATTCAACTTCAGAAAATCAAAAATAAGAAAAAAAAAAGTCTTGAAAGAAGCCAGAGAGGAAAAATACCTTACATATAAAGGAGCAAAAATAAGAATTACTTCTTAAATTTTCTTAGAAACCATGCAAGCAAGAAGAGTGAGGTTGAGAGAAAAACCACCAGCCTAGATTTCTGCACCCTGTAAAATTATCCTTCAAAAGTAATAAGAACTAAAGTTCTTCTCAGACAAATAAAACCTGAAGGCATTGTTACTGGTAGACCTACCTTGCAAGAAATGTTAACGGAAGTTCAGAAAGAAAATGATGTAGGTCAGACACTCCAATCTACATAAATAAAAGAAGAGAGTCAATGAATTAATAAGTAAAAGTAAAGTAAAACATTCTTTTTTTGTTCTTAATTGATCAAAGACATAATAGTTTGTTCAAAATAATAACAGCAACAATATATGGTTATGTATGCATATATATATGCTTTTGTATACTTTTGTAGACATGAAGTGAGAGATAGCAATGATAAAAGGGAAAGGAAGGAAGAATTAGGAATATTGTGTTATTAATATATCTTCTACCTGTGAAGTGGTATAGTGTCATTTGAAAGTGTACTTGGATTAGTTGTAAAAATATACTGCGAACTCTAGGACTAATGTTTTAAAACTTTAAAAAAGTATAATTGATATGCTAAGGGAGGAGAGAAAATGAAATTATATAAAGTGCTCAATTAAAACACAAAAAGTAGAAAACTATGCGCGACAAAAATAACTAAGAGCAAGGACGGCAAAGAAAAATCATTAACACAGATGGTACATATTAATTGCTATATCAATAATCATCTTAACTGTCAATGGTCTAAAACACACCAATTAAAATACAGAGACTGTCATAGTAAATCAAAAAACAAGACCCAGCTGTCTACAAGAAGCTCATTTTAAATTTGAAGACTCATAGAGATAAAAATTAAGGGGATGGAAAAGATACTGAGGTAAATTATAAAGGGTGGTCATAGCCTCCCTTAAAGGAGAACAAACTTGCTAAATAGATGGAGAGAATAAACTACCCGACAGTGCACAAATCACATCATGGGCTCAGGGTTAGAACATCCTGCAGCAAGGAGGTAGAAAAATAGAAGGGAGAATTCCCAAATTCACACAAGCACAGAAACCCATGATTAGTGTCCTTGGACTGACCTATATTCACTATAATAGTAAAAGAAAAACACCCCTGGGTGGAGATTTAAGATGCTAATGATACATGCAATGTTAAGTCCTAGCATGTACAACCACAGCACCTGTGCAGCCAGGGGACTACCCATAACATACTCATCAGAACACCCCTTCCCACCCCTCCATGAATAATCATGTAAATCTCCCATAAAGGGCGATCCCCCTGCATCAGACAGGGCTGTCTCACCTTTGAGCAGCCTGCTCTGATCAGCTATCAGAGTGTACTTTTGCTTTGCAATAAACTCTTTTGCTTACTGTTACTTTGGACTCGTTCTCAAAGTTTTTTGTGCAGCAAAGTCAAGAACCTGAAACAGCCCACTGGCAACAATAGCATGCTAACAGTAATCCAAAGAAAGCAGGAGTAGCTCTATTAATGACACATCCCACTTCAGAACAAGAAGAATTATCAGAAATAAAGAGAGTAATTACATAATAAAAATGCGGTCAGTTCTCCAAGAAGACATAACAATCCTTAGTGTTTACACACCTAAAAACAGAGCATCACTATATGTTAGGCAAAAACTAATAGAACTTCAAGGAAAAATAGATGAATTTACTACTGTACTTTGAGACTTTAACATCTCTCTACTAGTAATTAGCAGATTAAGCAGGCAAAAAATTAGGGAAGACATATTGTAATTCAAGTCAGCAGTGACATTAATCCAATTGACATGTGTAGAATAATTCACCCAACAGCAGAATACACATGCTTCTGAAGCTCCCATGGAATGTTCACAAAGACACATCACTATCTAGGCCATTAAAAAGCAACTTATTTAAAAGCATGTAAGTCATGCAAATTATGCTCTATGACTACAGTGAAATTAAGCTAGAAATCAAATTCAGAAAGATGACTGGAAAACTTTAAAATACATGAAGGCGTAACATCACACTTCTAAATAAAAAATGGATCAAGGAAGTCTCAGGAGGAATTGTAAAATATTTTGAACTAAATGAAAATGAAAATACAACTTTAAATTTGAAGACCCATAGAGATAAAAATTAAGGGGATGGAAAAGCTACTGCGGTAAGTTATAGAGGGTGGTCATAGCTTTTCATTTTTGCTTACATCTTATGAAAGTGTGAAATGCAGTAAAACAATGCTTAGACCAAAATTATAGCATTGAATATACATGTTGCATCCCAAGGAGGGTCTAAAATTAATAATCTAACTTTTCACCTTAGGAAGCTAGTAAAGGAAGAACAAATTAGACTCAAAATAAGGAGAAGAAAAATATAAAAATCAATAAAATTGAAGACAGAAAAATCAATAGAAAAAAATCAACAAATAAAAATCTGATTCTTTGAAAAGATAAATAAAATTGGTAAATCTCTATCCAGAGTAAGAGAGAAAAAGAATACAAATTATTAATATCAACATTTAAAGAAGAACCACCTCTATAGATACTATGGACATTAAAACATTTAAAAAAATAAAGAAATATTATTAACAACTTCATAAGTTTGATAACCGACATAAAATGCAGCACTTCTTTGAAATATACAATCTACTAAAATTCACACCAGGAGAAAAAGACAATCTGAGTTGTCCTATATCTATCAAAGGAACTGAATCAATAATTAATAAGCTGATAAAATAGAAAGTACCAAGCCCCAGAGAGTTCTCTGGTAAATTCTAACACTTAAAAGAAAAATTATAACAATTCTCCAGAATCTTTTCCAAAAAACAGAAGCATACAGAATGCTTCCCTAGTTATTCTATGAGGTCATTATTACCATACACCAAAACCAAAGACATTACAAGAAAGAAAAAACAAAGAGCACTATCTTTCATTAAGCAAAAATCCTGAACAAAGTATTAGCAAATTGGATCCAATAATGTGTAAAAAGATGATGAAGTGGACCTTATCCTAATTATGAAAGGCTAGTTCAACAATTGAAAATAAACTGATATATTTCATCACATTAACAAGAAAAAGAAAAAAAACAAGATCACATCACCAGATGCAGAAAAACATTTGACAAAATCCAACATCCATTAACGATAACTCTCGGGAAATTAGGAATAGAGGGAAACTTCCTCAAAGTGACAATGTCTATAGGAAACCTACAGCTAACATCATATTCCCTGGTAAGAAGTTAGATGCTTTCCTGGTAAGATGAAAAACAAGGCAAGAATGCCTGCTCGGCCGGGCGCGGTGGCTCCCGCCTGTAATCCCAGCACTTTGGGAGGCCGAGGCGGGCGGATCACGAGGTCAGGAGATCGAGACCATCCCGGCTAAAACGGTGAAACCCCGTCTCTACTAAAAATACAAAAAATTAGCCGGGCGTAGTGGCGGGCGCCTGTAGTCCCAGCTACTTGGGAGGCTGAGGCAGGAGAATGGCGTGAATCCGGGAGGCGGAGCTTGCAGTGAGCCGAGATCCCGCCACTGCACTCCAGCCTGGGCGACAGAGCGAGACTCCGTCTCAAAAAAAAAAAAAAAAAAAAAAGAATGCCTGCTCTCACCTTACTCAACATCATACTGAGGGTCCTAGCTAATGCAATAAAACGTGAAACACACATAAAAGTTAAACAGATTTGGAAGAAAGAAATAAGACTCTGCTCACAGATGGCATGACTGTTTATGTAAAAAATCCCCCCAAAATCAACCAAAACATTTGTGGAACTAACATGTGGTTATAGTAAGGTTGTAGAGTATAATGTTAATGTACAAAAGTCAATTGATTTCTGATATACCAGCAATGGGCAATTGGAATTTGAAATTAAAAGCATAATACCATTTACTTTAGCATTGAAAAGAGAAATGTTTAGGCATAAATTGAATAAAATACGTACCAGGTTTATATGAGAAAACTACAAACTCTGGTGAAAGAAATCAAAGATCTAAATAAATGGAGTATAAATAGAATAAAATATGTACAAAGTTTATGTGAGAAAAAACTACAAACTGATGAAAGAAATCAAAGAAGATCTAAATAAATGGAGAGATATTCTATGTACATGGATAAGAAGACTCAATATTGTCATAATGTCATTTCTTCAAAACTTGATCTGTAGATTTAATGGAACCCCAATCAAAATTCCAGCAAATTATTAAGTGGATATCCACAAACTGGTTCAAAAGTTTATATGAAATGACAAAAGATCCAGAACAGCCAACATAATATTGAAGGAGAAGAACGAAGTTCGAGGTCTAACGAACTAATTTCTCTATGATTCCAACTACATGGCATTCTGGAAAATGAAAAATTACAGACACAGTAAATAGCTCAGTGATTGTCAGGAGTTTGAGGGAAAGGGGACTAGGAGTAAATTGAACACAAGAGATTTTCAGAATAGTAACACTGTTATGTATGACACAGTAATTTTGGATACATGCCATTATATATTTGTCCAAACCCATGGAACGTCAATCACAAAGAGTGAAGCTTAATATAAACTATGGGCTTTAGTAACTAATGGTGTATCAATACTGGGTCATCGATTCTAACAAATGTGCCACACTCATGTAAGATGCTAAAAATAGGAGAAACTGCAGGGAGGTATACGGGAACTGTTTTTTTCTTTCATCTTTTTTTCTGTAAACCTAAAACTTAGGAAAAAATGAAGCATCTTATTTTTTAAAATTATCTAAATACATTAATAAAAAGTGAGAGATTAGCAAAGTAGATTTCAAAATATCCTAATCATAAGCTGTTTATAAGAAACCTACTTTGCATTTAATAAAATAGGTAAATTGAAATTAAATGCATGAAAAAGACATAATATGCAAATATTAACAAAATAATGCAGGAATTGCTATATTAATATCTGATGGAGAGACTTCAGAGTAAGGAAAATTACTAAAGACAAAGAAAGATATTACATATTTTTAAAAGCCAAGCTACTATGAAGACACAATGATCCTAAATGTATATAAACCAACAGAATTTTAAAATACATGGAACAAAAGCAGAGAATACTGAAAGAAGAAATAGACAAATCTACAATTATAGTTGGGGATTCCAACCTTCTCACTAGCTGACAGAATTACTAGTCAGAAAATTAGCATAGATATAGAAAAATATGAACTACACAGTTCACCAACAGGATCCAATTGATATTCATATATAGATTTATCACATAAAGGAAACTCCAATAAGATTAAAAACTAATTGCTCATCATAAGTAATAGAAGGCAGAAGAAAGTGGAATGACATATTAAAAGTGATTAAAGAAAATAAGAGACCAAGAATCTTATATCTAGCAAAACTATATGCTAAGACTTAAGATTAAATAGACATTTTCTGGCTGGGCGTGGTGGCTCACTCCTGTAATCCCAGCACTTTGGGAGGCAGAGGTGGGTGGATTACAAGGTCAGGAGATCGAGACCATCCTAGCTAACATGGTGAAACCCCGTCTCTACTAAAAATAGAAAAAATTAGCCAGGCGTGGTGGCGGGCGCCTGTAGTCCCAGCTACTCGGGAGGCTGAGGCAGGAGAATGGCGTGAACCTGGGAGGCAGAGCTTGAAGTGAGCCAAGATCGCACCACTGCACTCCAGCCTGGGCAACAGAGCAAGACTCTGTCTCGAAAAAAAAAAAAAAAAAATAGACATTTTCATATAAACAAAAATTGAGAAAATGTGTTGCTGGAAGATTTATCTTGATATTTATTAACACTAACAAAAGATTTCCAAGCTGATTCCTGATACGTGTTCAACCCCATATGAGAAAACAAAGAGGCTGGTAAATTGAATTATGTAGATAATTGTTAGAGTATAATTGGATATTTTGTCTTCTTTCCTTAAATGATTTAAAATGCAATTGCATAAAATGATATGTATATACACAGATTGTTGGATTCGTAACCTATGGAAATGTAATATATTTGACAATAATGGCACAAAGGATATGAGCAGAAGCAAATCTATATTGGACCAACCAAGAGGTTGACACCAGATGGTTTTTCAGGTGTACAAAAATAAAGAGAACCAGAAATGGCAGATAAAGAAGATTAATATCACAAACTTTACAAATGTATACTTGCCCTCCTTTCTTCCTCAGCTTCTTTAAAAGATGCAAAAGTAAAAAGAACAAAGCTGGAGACATCATGCTACCTGACTTCAAAGTATACTATAAGGCTACAGTGACCAAAACAGCATGGTACTGGTACCAAAACAGAGATATAGACCAATGGAACAGAACAGAGGCCTCAGAAATAACACCACACATTTACAACCATCTGATCTTTGAGAAACTTGACAAAAACAAGCAATGCGGAAAGAATTGCCTATTTAATAAATGGTATTGGGAAAACTGGCTGGCCATACGCAGAAAACTGAAACTGGACCCCTTCCTTACACCTTATACAAAATTTAACTCACGATGGATTAAAGACTTAAACATAAGACCTAAAACCATAAAAACCCTAGAAGAAAATCTAGGCAATACCATCCAGGACATAGGCATGGGCAAGGACTTCATGACTAAAACACCAAAAGCAATGGCAACAAAAGCCAAAATAGACGAATGGGATCTGGTTAAACTAAAGAGCTTCTGCACAGCTAAAGAAACTATCATCAGAGTGAACAGGCAACCTACGGAATGGGAGAAAATTTTTACAATCTGTCCATCTGACAAAAGGCGAATATCTAGAATCTACAAGGAACTTAAACAAATTTACAAGAGACAAACAACCCCATCAAAATGTGGGCAAAGGATATGAACAGACACTTCTCAAAAGAGGACATTTATGCAGCCAACAAACATATGAAGAAAAGCTCATCATCGCTGGTCATTAGAGAAAGGCAAATCAAAACCACAATGAGATACTATCTCAGACCAGTTATGTGATGCTTTTTTGTTTGTTTGTTTGTTTTTGTTTGTTTTTGTTTTTTTTTGTTTTTTTGAGACGGAGTCTCGCTGTCGCCCAGGCTGGAGTGCAGTGGCGCGATCTCGGCTCACTGCACACTCCGCCCCCCGGGGTTCACGCCATTCTCCTGCCTCAGCCTCCCGAGTAGCTGGGACTACAGGCGCCCACCACCTCGCCCGGCTAATTTTTTTGTATTTTTAGTAGAGACGGGGTTTCACCGTGTTAGCCAGGATGGTCTTGATCTCCTGACCTTATGATCCGCCCGCCTCGGCCTCCCAAAGTGCTGGGATTACAGGCGTGAGCCACAGCGCCCGGCCATGTGATGCTTTTATAAAGCATGCTTTCTTGCGTGCCGCTATGATTGTAAGATGTGACTTTGCTCCTCCTTGCCTTACACCGTGATTGTGAGGCCTCCCTAGCCAGGTCAAACCTCTTTCGTTTATAAATTACCCAGTCGCAAGTATGTCTTTATTAGCACTGTGAGAACAGACTGATACATCAGAGATAAAAAAGGACATGCTGTAATGTTAAAGAGACAATATATCAAGAAGGTATAAAAATTATAAACCTATGTGCACTGAACGAAATTTTTCCAAAATCTACAAAGCAAAAATTAAAGGTAGAATTAAAGGTGAATTAAAGGTAGAATTCAACAATAATAGTTGGAGATGGTAATCGTAGCAGACATCAGTATCTCACTTTCGATAATCAGAAAAGCTAAATAGATGCTAGCAAGAATATGGAGGATTTGAGTAACAGTATAAACTAGCTAGATGACAGTACAGTACACCCAAAAGCAGAACATTACTCTCAAGTGCACATGGAACAGTTCCTAAAATACATCACATGCTAGGCCAAAAACCAAACCTCAAAAAAAGTAGAAAATGATTGTTCTTTGATCAAAGTGGAATTAAATTAGAAATTAAAAACAGAAAGAACTTTGGGAAAAGCAGAACTTATAAAAATTAGCTACATACTTCCAAATAACCAATGAGTCAGAGATGAGATCATGATGAAAAATAAGCAGAAGAAAGGATATAATAAACATTGAAATAGAAATTAAAGAAATAGAAAAAATGGTAGAGCAAATCAACAAAACCAAGAGTTGGGTCTTTAAAAAGATTAACAAAATTAACAAACTTTAGCTACACTTACAGGGAGAAAGAAAGATTCAACTTACTAAAATTAAGAACGAAAGAGGGACATTACTATTGACCTTATAGAAATAAAAAGAACTGTTAAAGGTACTATGAAAAAAAGAATGTCAACATATTAGATAATGTTGATGAAATGATATCATTTCTAGAATAATATCTACCAATCATTTAAAGAAGAATTAGTGCCATTCTTCACAAGCTCTTAAAAAATTTTAATATTTATTACAGTATTACTTATAATAGCCAAAAAGTAAAAACAACCCCAATGTTAATTAACTGATGAATGGATAAATACAATATGGTGTATCGTATATCGTATATATGATATCATGTTATTGACCAACAAAAGGAATGAAGTACTAACACATGCTGCAACCTGGGTGAAAATATTATATTCTTGTAAATATCATGCTGCATAAAAGAAACCAGAACCAAAGAGTGCACTTTGTATTATTCCGTTTATATAAAATCTCCCAAACAGGCAAGTTTAGACAGTGGTTGCCTAATGATGTAAGGTGGAGGAGGAATGGGAAGTGACTGCTAATGGGTACTGGGACTCTTTGAGGGTACCAAAAATGTTATAAAATGAAACTTTGGTGATGATTGAACAACTGAATGAATATATTAATATGTATGAAACATTTTAAGTGAGTAAATTACACAAAATTTAAATTATGGCTAAACAAAGCTGTTTTTAAAAAGTGTACCAGCAGCAGAAAATTAGTTATAAATTAATCAGGATTAAACAGTGCTCATCTTGATTAAGCTTATAATGGATCATGATTATTTTACTTGTTTTATTCTGTAGTAAACAGTTTGAGATTCAGTGATTAAACAAAGGACTACCTTTACACTCTACTTATTTTTTAAGTAAAAGAAAAACATTATTAAAAAGTGTATAAACTGGTTCATGTTTATGTTAACTATCTTACCCTTCCTTCTCTTTTACTTCCAATTACTTTGGTTATGTTTCGGGTTTCATTTGATATTGTCTATGGAATCTGTTAATCATTCTTTAAAGGAAAGAGGAAGTGGGTAGGGAATAAAGTATGGAGCCATCCAAAAACGAAAAGATCTGGGAAGATGCTGTGCTGATTTAATGTTAAGAAATGTTCAGAAAGTAAACCCTTGATGTCTTGGTTTTTATTTTAGAAATATTATCTTGTTGACAATATACTAAAGTGCATACAACTGATTTAAAATAAAAATAAGGTATATGAAAATATGTAAGATGCAGCTGAAGCAGAGGTGAGAGGAAAATTTTTATTACTAAATGTTTATATTAGAAGTGATAAAGTCCTCAACCAACTAAATTCCTACCTCAAACAACAAACAAAAACAAGAAATAAAAAGAGCAAAATAAGACCAAATCAAGAAGCAGCATATTCTGGTATAACTTTCAAATTATCCTTTAAAAATAGTCATAAGTTCAGAATCTGGTGTACAAATTCTATATTATGTCTCCTTACCTTTGAAATGCGTTTTTTTTTTTTTTTTTTTGAGAGACAATCTCGCTCTGTCGCCAGGCTGGAGTGCGATGGCACCATCTCGGCTCACGGCAACTTCCGCCTCCCGGGTTCAAGCAATTCTCCTGCCTCAGCCTCCGGAGTAGCTGGGACTACTGGAACGCGCCACCACATCCAGCTAATTTTTGTATTTTTAGTAGAGACGGGGTTTCATCATGTTGGCCAGGATGGTCTCCATCTCCTGACCTCTTGATCCGCTCGCCTTGGCCTCCCAAAGTGCTGGGATTAAAGGCGTGAGCCACCGCGCCTGGCCTAAAATGCGTTTCTTTTCCTTGATATAAATGTATTATCTGTACTACTATGAATACTGAAATGCCATAATTGAGGCTTTTTTTTTAACTTTGCAAATGGAATAAAGGAGAGAAGGAAGGATGAGAGTCTCCTGAGATATTTAGATAAATGTTAGAGAAAAGAAAAGATTCAAGTTGATATTCTGATAAACCTGATAAATCACATGGACAAATCTGACATTTATGCGAGTAAACGAAATGGAAAACAATATAACTGGGTGTAAAGAAAGAAGGAGATAAAAAAATACAAAGTTAAATAGTCCCTCATATTGGTCACAAGGCCAAATCAGCTGGCTCAGAATGTCATTTACTGCAGAAAGCCTCACTGAATTTCCTCCTTTAAGGAATGACTTTGTTCCTAGGAAATCTACACTAGTGTATAGAAATAAAGGGGCATACTGTCTGCATCTTGCTCTTAGATAATTCAGAAAAATGTGTGTGTATATCTATATCAATACCTATCTAGAATAAACAAGTGTGATGATCTGTTAACAATTGATAAACCTGGGTAAAGGGTAGGTATATGGGAGTTCTTTGCATATTTTTTCAACTTTTATGCACATGCGAAATTATCTGCAAGTGAAAATGTTTGTAAAAATTAAAAAACATACCATTTCAAAACAGGCTGTATTTATATAAGAAGTGCCCAATGTTTTTGCTTAATTTCTTTGTGGTAAGATTTTAGTCTTCCAGGAAAAGTTTCATATTGGTTATTATTGTGAAAAATAATGAAGTGGCCTGCTTCTAATTTTTCTAAGTTCCCTTTTGAATAACTAAGCATCTACACCAAATTAAAGATACTTCTCTATAATTTTTCAAAATTCAAAAAGGATGTCTCATAAAGTAAGAAAATAAACTGTGGTTTGTTCCTCCATTGTTGTTAATTTGCAATGTCCCACTTATCTCTGATGGGATATCAGTAAATTTACTTGCCTTATTGTACTTGTTCCTTGATGTATTTCTAATGATTAATTAGAAATAATTACACATTTGTCCACTTTGGAAAGTAATGGAGGTGAAGGGGGTGTGTGTGTGCACTTGTATGGACGCACACATGCATAGGTACACACACACATATTGTGTTTTCTTGTTTTGTTTTGTGCTTTGATTTTTATTTTTAAATTGTAAATTGACAAATCATAGTTGTGTATATTTATGGAGTACAAAATGATGATATAATTTATGAATACAATTTGGAATAATTATATCAAGCTAATTAACATCCACCACCTCAAATACTTGTCATTTTTAATGGGGAATGCATTTGAAATTTACTCTCTTAGTGATTTTTAAAATGTAGAATTCTTTACTATGTACTATTTTCACCAAGTTTTGCAATATATCTCAAAGAAAAAAAACCCTTATTATTCCTTTTGTATAAATGAGGCTTTGTACCTTTTGACCAATATCTATCCATTCCACCCCGCACCTCCAGCCTCTGCTAATGACCATTCTGCTCTCTGCTTCTTTCAGTTTGATTGTTTTAGATTCCACATATAATTGAGATCATGAAGTTTTTGTCTTTTTTGGCTTCGCTTATTTCTTTTAGCGTAACATTTTCCAATGTTGTTGCCAATGAAAAAATGATTTTTGTAAAGGCATGTAATTGTAACAGTCTCTTATGATCCTTTGTATTTTTGTGGTATCAGTTATAGTGTCTCCTTTTTCATTTCTAATTTTATTTATTTGAGTCTTCTCTCCTTTTTTCTTAGTCTAGCTAAAAGATTATTGGTTTTATATTTTTAAGAAACTTAGTTTTGTTCATCTTTTGTGTCATTTTCTAGTTTTCATTTCACTTATTTTTGCTCTGATCTTTATTATTTTATTTCCTTCTGCTAACATTGGAAGAATTTGATATCCTTTTTCTATTTCCTTGAGGCATAATACTAAGTTGTTTATTTGAGATCTTTCTTCTTTTTGCTGTTGATGTTTATTGCTATAAACTTTCCTCTTAGAAATGCTTTTGCTGTATCTCATAAGTTTCGGTATGTTGTGTTTCCATTTTTGTTTTTCTCAAGATATTTTTACATTTCTTGTTTAATTTCTTCATTGACCTATTGGTTGTTCAAGAGTATGTTGCTTAATTCTTTTAATTTTCATTTCTTCATTGACCTATTGGTGGTTCACCACCATGTTGCTTAGTTTCCACGTATTCGTACATTTTCTGGAATTCCTTCTATTGTTGGTTTCTAGTGTCATATCATTGTTGTCTGAAAAGGTACTTGATATGATTCTAATATTAAATTTGCAAAGATTCATCTTGTGGTCTAACCTGTTGTCTATCCTGCAGAATGTTCTATGTGTCCCTGAGAAGAATGTGTATTCTGCTGCTGTTGGGTGAAGTTTCTGTATGTGTCTATTAGGTCCATTTGGCGTAAAGCGTCCTTCAAGGTTAATGCTATTTTCTATCTTTTTTTTTTTTTTTTTTGAGACAGAATCTCGCTCTGTCACCCAGGCTGGAGTGCAGTGGCGCGATCTCGGCTCACTGCAAGCTCCGCCTCCCGGGTTCACGCCATTCTCCTGCCTCAGCCTCCCCAGCAGCTGGGACTACAGTCGCCCGCCGCCACACCTGGCTAATTTTTTTGTATTTTTAGTAGAGACAGGGTTTCACCGTGTTAGCCAGGATGGTGTCAATCTCCTGACCTTGTGATCCACCTGCCTCGGCCTCCCAAAGGGCTGGGATTACAGGTGTGAGCCACTGCCCCGGTCTGTTTAGAAGTATTTTTAAAGAATTATTGCACTTCTGTTCGGATAGAAAAACAAAAATACATTTTTAGAATATATATTTATATGTATGAAAATATAAAATTTTGAAAAGTTGAATATTTCAAGCCAATTATGTAGATGTCCTTGTCCTTCCCTGAGCTGCTGACTCATGTTCCATGAAGCGGGATGGGTCTCACAGGCCTGTCAGGATGCAGGCTGTGATGTGAAGGCCGCTCGACGCTCACAGGATTGGACGGGTTTGTGAAGGAATTTGCAGCGAGCCTTAGTTAGCTCCTTAACATTTCCTTTGAGCAACATCAGTGCTTTTGACGTTTTGCACTACTGTATAAAACTGTAAGTGTATGCAGAGATGTATGTTTCTGAATAAATCACAAAATTGACAAGCAACTGCCATGCATTGTTTTTTGTATCATAGCTTACTGATAAAGTACAGACTGCAACATTTACTTATTCAAATACCTTTAAAGATCTGGTATTTTTTTGCTTCTACTTCCCAGGAATTTGACCTCAGGGACATTTTCTATTATTTCCATATCTATTGAAATGAACTCAAATCAAAAATGAGGATGTTTCATTATACATTTAAAATGTGAGTTTTCCCATTTAAAGTCACGCAAACTGAGGTTACTATGAAAAAGATTTAAAATTGTGCAGAATGAATCACTGAAAAATTAGTTTATTCTAAAGATCATATAGTCAGAGTAAATATATTTAAATTTTATTACTTTCAGAGTAAATATATTTAAATTTTATTCAATTTCCTCTTTGTCAGCAAATTAGTGAATAACATTACTGATATCTTAGATGTTTGTGGACACAAAGAGAATAGAGGTAAAAATCATGACCCTCAAAGAGCTCAAAATCCTAAGATTTTTATGGGCAGCCCCAGAGGTATAAAATTCAAAAGGACGTTACTTCTCCATTCCTGATTAGGTACGCAATGTTCTGGGATTACGCATGGCTCTTGGATCCTTGAGAGTAATAATGACAGTGACCTCTGAATTAACATAGTTCAACTTTTATAATAATTATGGCCTTCAACCATGTGAAGTTTGTGGACCACTGAGATTTCTTGGGGCGATTTTGTAACAGCTAATTCTTAACAGCAATGTTATTTCAGGCTTTTTGGCCATTCCCTGTTACAACTGCTGATCTTTTATTCCTATAATGGTACAGAATTCTTTGAGAAAAATAAATTCATCTTTTCATTCATTTAAGGAAAAATTGTCAGCACGAGCCTATGGCTATAATGTTCTCCATCATTTAAAGAATAAAAGGAATAATCTGGTTGAAATTGAATTATCTAAGCTTATATATGGTTTTGATTCAATGGTTAACGTGCATTTTTAACAAGTGATATGGTTTGGCTGCAACATTTACTTATTCAAATACCTTTAAAGATCTGTTTTTTTTTTTGTTTTTTTTTTTTTTTTTTGCCTGTACTTCCCAGGAATTTGATGTCAGATGCATTTTCTATTATTTCCATATCTATTGAAATGAACTCAAATAAAAAAAGGGGATGTTTCATTACACACTTATTAATGTGTAATTTAAGATTAATGTGTAATCTTGTAATTCCCATAATCCTTATGTGTCAAGGGTGGGACCAGATGGACATAATTGAATCACAGGGGTGGTTTTCTCCAGGCTGTTCTTGTGATAGTGAGTTCTCACAAGATCTGACGGTTTTATAAGGGGCTTCTTCCTTCACTCAGAACACATTGTTTCTGCTGCCACCCTGTGAAGAGGTGCCTTTGGCCATGATTGTAAGTTTCCTGAGGCATCCCCAGCCATGTGAAACTATGAGTCAATTAAACTTCTTTTCTTTATAAATTACCCAGTCTTGAGGAGTTCTTCATAACAGCATGAAAACAGACTAATACAGTAAATTGGTACCACAGACATAGGGTGCTGTTATAAGGATACACTAAAATGTGGAAGTGACTTTGGAACTGGGCAACAGGCAGAGGTTGGAATAGTTTGGAGGGTTCAGAAGAAGACAGTAAAGGCTGGGTGTGGTGGCTCATCCCTGTAATCCCAGGACTTTGGGAGACCGAGGCAGGTGGATGACCTGAGGTCAGGAGTTTGAGACCAGCCTGGCCAACATGGTGAAACCCCATCTCTACTAAAAATATAAAATTAGCTGGGCATCGTGATGCATGCCTGTAATCACAGCTACTTGGGAGGCTGAGGCAGGAGAATGGCTTGAACATGGGAGGTGGAGGTTGCAGTGAGCAGAGATTGCACCACTGCATTCCAGCCTGGGCAACAAGAGCGAAACTCCATCTCAAAAAAAAAAAAAAGAAGACAGAAGAATGTGGGAAAGTGTGGAACTTCCTAGAGACTTGGAGGACTTGGAAGACAAGAAGATGTGGGAAAGTTTGGGACTTCCTAGAGACTTGAATGGCTTCTACCAAAATGCTGATAGTGACATGGAAAATGAAGTCCAGGCTGAGGTGGTCTCAGATGGAGATGAGGAACTTGTTGGGAACTGGGATAAAGGTGATTCTTGCTATGCTTTAGCAAAGAGACTGCAACACTTTGCCCCTGCCCTGGAGAGCTGTGGAAGTTTGAACTTGAGAGAGATGATTTAGGGTATCTCGTGGAAGAAATTTCTAAGCAGCAAAGTGTTCAAGAGGAAGCAGAGCATAAAAGTTTGGAAAACTTGCAGCCTGACAAGGCGATAGAAAAGAAAAACCCATTTTCTTGGGAGAAATTCAAGCCAGCTGCAGAAATTTGCAGAACAAGGAGTGGAATACTAATTACCAAGACAATGAGGGAAATGTCTCCAGGGCAAGTCAGAGACCTTCTTGGCAGCCTCTCCCATCACAGGCCTGGAAACCTAGGAGGGAAAAATGGTTTCATGGGCCCAAGACCCCCTGTTCTATGCAGCTTTGAGACATGGTGCCCTGTCTCCCAGATGCTTCAGCTCCAGCCACAGTTAAAAGGGGCCAAGGTACAGCTCAGGCCATTGCTTCAGAGGGTCCAAGCTCCAAGCCTTGGAGGCTTCCATGTGGTGTTGAGCCTGTGGGTTCACAGAAGTCAAGAATTGAGGTTTGGGAACCTTCACCTGGATTTCAGAGGATGTATGGAAATGCCTGGATACCCAGGCAGAAGTTTGCTGCAGGGGCAAAGCCCTCATGGAGAACCTCTGCTAGGACAGTGCAGAATGGAAATGTGGGGTTGGAGCCCCCACACAGAGTCCTCACTGGGGTACTACCTAGTGGAGCTGTGAGAAGAGGGTCACTGTCCTCCAGACCCCAGCATGGTAGATCCACTGACAACTTTCACTGTGCCCCTGGAAAAGCCACAGACACTCAATGCCAGCCCATGAAAGCAGCCAGGAGGGGGTTGTACCCTGCAAAGCCACAGGGGTGGAGCTGCCCATGGCCATGGGAGCTTACTTCTTGCATCAGTGTGACCTGGATGTGAGACCTGGAATCAAAGGAGAACATTTTGGAACTTTAAGGTTTAATGACTGCCCTATTGGATTTCAGACTTGCATAGGGCCTGTAGCCCCTTTGTTTTGGCCAATTTCTCCCATTTGGAATGGGTGTATTTACCCAATGCCTGTGCCTCCATTGTATCTACAAAGTAACTAACTTGCTTTTGATTTTACAGGCTCATAGGTGGAAGGGACTTGACTCAGATGAAACTCTGGACTTGGACATTTGGGTTAATGCTGTAATGAGCTAAGACTCTGGGGAACTGTTGGAAAGGTATGATTGTGTTTTGAAATGTGAGGACATGAGACTTGGAGGGGGGCCAGGGACAGAATGATATGATTTGGCTCTGTGTCCCCACCCAAATCGCATCTTGAATTGCAGTTCCCATAATCCCCAAGTGTAAAGGGTAGGATCAGGTGAACATAATTGAATCATGGGGTAGTTGCCCCCATGCTGTTCTCATGATGGTGGGTGAGTTCTCATGAGATCTGATCATTTTATAAGGGGCTTCCCCTTTGCTCAAAACTCATTATTTCTGCTGCCACCATATGAAGAGGTGCCTTCTGCCATGATTGTAAGTTTCCTGAGGCTTCCCTAGCCATGTGGAACTGTGAATCAATTAAACCTCTTTTCTTTATAATTACCCAGTCTTGGATATTTCTTCATAGCAGCATGAGAATGGACTAATACAAGATGTGAGTGCATTTCCAGTTAATAAATAGGTAATATTTTCTGTGTTTTCTGCTATGGTAATGAATTGCATTACAACTTCACTAAAGAGAGAAATCACTCACAATTTGAGACCTAAACCAAGAGCTGAAGAAAGTGCAAAGAGACCTACAATAATTCCTATAAGTTATTTCCAATGGAAGGCCTCTGTGTATGTAGTACTGTAATAGAAAAACCTATGGAATAAAAAGAATGCATTCTCTGAGTAATGTTATGCAGTTTAATTAACCCTTCTCTGCATATTTTTGGCAGCTGTCATCTGTATTATAGGGATAATACAATTAATGGTACTGTCATGATTACATAAGTGAGATGAGTGAGGCATTTTTTTTGTTTTTTGTTTGTTTGTTTGTTTGTTTGTTTTGAGACAGAGTCTTGCTCTGTCGCCAGGTTGGAGCACTGTGGCGCGATCTTGGCTCACTGCAACCTGCAACTCCCTGGTTCATGTGATTCTGCTGACTCAGCCTTCTGAGTAGGCCATTGTGTGTGTGTGCTGAGGGGTTCCCTTATTGGGCAAAATGTACAGGGTAGCAAGGGATTTTTGGCAGCAAAGGATTGTGATTGGGTGGGGAGGAGTAGTAATATTTCATGAGAAGTAAGTTGAGAAGCAAACGAGTGCTGTGTGTTTTCATTAAGTAATAGGGTCGACACAGCATGGGAACATACACATCAAGTGGGCGGCCTAACACTAAATCAGAAGTAGCCTGGATGAGTTGGAAGTCATGGCCACTGTTTGTAGGCCAGGAGGATATGCTTTAGCACTGGCTGGTTTTGTGGGAAAACAGAGAGAAAGACATGGCTGAGTCTCAGGGTGCTCAGAGAAGGCCACAGCCTTGGGGTGCCGTGGTGACCACAAACACTTCCCCCATCCCATACCAATCTTTAAGAGCCTTTTCCTCCTTAAAGGCCTGTCACTTAGCAAAGAGCTTTCAATGAACCCTCCCCTCTGGGCCACTTGTTGGATTGCAGCCAATCAGTGATGGAGGGCTGGACACAACTGTGGGATGCTGTGATTTGGTTTGGCTCCTGGGTCTAGAGTGCTCTGGGGTCCACTGTACTTCTGGGATAAAACGCCAAGACCATGACTCTCTTGCTAATTTACAAACAAAAGATTGAGGGCTAGCTAAACAAGGACAGAGCGGAAGCAGCTTTCTGTAAGACACACCCACCAGTGTGCCCTGTCAGTTTACCATTGCCATGGCAACACTCAGGCATTACCACCCCTTTCAGCGGCAATGACCTGATGACCCAAAAATTACCACCCTTTTCCTAACAATTTCTGCACAAACCATCCCTGAATCTGCATGTAATTAAAAGTAGGTATACATATGACTGCAAAACTGGGCTCAGCCACTACTCTCGACACCCTGCCTATGGGGCAACCCTGGGAGCAGTCACTGAGCTGTGACCCCACAGGAGCTGTAACAGTGTTGCTTTGATAAAGGTGTTTTCTTCCACCTTACCACTGGCTCGCCCTTGAATCCTTTCCTGGGTGAAGCCAAGAACCCTTGCAGGCTAAGCCCCACTTTGGGGTTCGCCTACCTTGCATCAGCATCAGGTTTGTTTTTTAAACTTGTAAAATACTTTTTGTGATTCTGTCATGTATTTTGCAGTCATGAACTAACATTTTTTTTCCTCAATTGTCAGTTGCAGTTTCCTCAAAGATCATTATAAATACTCCTTAACCTACAAAGTTTGGCAGTCACAGCCTGCTCTTCGAGGAACAGCCTGACTCACCATCAAGCGGCTCCTCAGGTGGTTTTACTTCCCATGTTTCCCATGTGAGGTACTATGCCTCAGTGATTCCTGGCAAAACTAGGATTCTCTGTTAGTATTGTGCTAACTTTGGAGTGAGTTTCTTTTGGTGAGTAATAATTTTAGTCAATGATACTACTGATTATTTTATCTTTTTTTAGGCTTATGATGAATGCTTGATTTATGATTAATATGTTTTTCACTTTTACACATTTCAAGGAAGGAAACAAGAACAGACAGAAACACAACATACTTCATGAAACCACATTTTAGCATCCTGGCCGAGTATTCATCAGTCAGCAAGATAGAGAGACATAAACTATTTCCAGCAAGAATACTTCATAAATGATGAATAGAAGAAAAAAAGAAGTCCTAAAAATCTTGCAGAACTGCCTTAATTTACTATCTTTACACTGTATCCTAAGTCACTCTCTAGCTTCTTGCTCTAAGCATATGAAATGTAAGAGCTAATGGGAACCCCAGTGCCTGTATAAATAACAAGAACCAGCATGTCTTTATTTATGGCAGGGAACACTCTACAACCTGGGACAAATGCCACTCTGCTTCAGTTTGGGGAAGCTCCTCACTTTACCATCCTGACGTTGAATAAATGATTCAAAGGCAACTACAGATGCAACCTGAGCCACTGGATGGGCTTTTGTAAATAAAGTTATCTCACCTGGCATTCATTACAGAGAAAACAAGAAATAAGGCACTACATGTCATATTTGTCTAGATCCTATACCTATTTAGGTTCACATTAAAATGAAGAGAAAACAACATAGGCTGAGAATCAGAAAACCTGAACTCTGTCCCAGCTCAGCCACTGGCCACAGGGAATTAACCAATCTCTTTGAACGTCAGTTTCTTCATTAAGCATCGTAGAGAATGTCAAAACCAACTTTATAAATACTGTCATTCCAAAACCACACAATTCAAATATAAATAATCTTTATAAGGTAAAACAAAAATGTACATAATACTTTACATAAACATTTTTAGAATAAGTTTATTATAACTCGATAAGCAAAATAATCCAAACCTTTATACATTTCTACAAGGATAGTCATGTATGTCAATTTTTCGGTTTCCTCTCGTGCCTATTTTGTCTCCTGAGCCGGCCCCTTTCCAGCTGACACGTGTGCTCCGTGTTCTCCCACAATAGCCTGACCTGGCCTGAGTCCGCGCCCCTGTGAGCCTCCTTTCTTTGCTTACAACAGCAGCCTGCCTGATGTCAGTTATGGACTATTCTTTCTTTCAGCCTCATTTCAGGGTCCTCTGCCTCTTAGAGCTGCTGCTGTAGCTTAGCTAGAGACCCGCTGCTGTTGCATCATGGAAAAGTGCCACATACGTTCACATGTGAAAGAATACGCAGACCTTCATGTTGTGTTTTAGTTTTAGAAAAAGTCAGAAGTAGCTTCACTTGATTTCAGCTTGTAAAGACATAGGAGGGAGGCAACTGAGAATCACCGTTGCAAAAAGCAAACATCAAAAATCACATTAAAATGCTGAAGTGTTGTGGATCACAAACCTAGCTTTATTGGATCAAGCATTCGTGAGAGTTCTTCTACTTGCTTTGTTATGCTTTCTATCAGACAGGGCTCATTCTCTGTCTTTTTTTTAACATATTCATTTTTTTCCTTTGGTCTGTTTAGATTATTATCACATCTTATGTTTTAAAACTAGCAAAATATGTGTAAGTCATGAAGACAGCGTAAGAAATAATAAAATGAACACTGATGTACACATTACCTGCCTAAGAATCAAAAACTACCCATATTTTTAGAGTCCTTAACACTGTCCTGTTAATTAGTCCCATTTCTTCTCTTTATAATTTTGCCAAAATAAATGCATTAGTAAAGGACATTGAACATTATTGTTTTACATGTTTTTCAGTTTAAACAAATGGGATCACACTGAATATATTTTTCTGAAATTGCTTTTTGGTTCAATATTAAATTTGTAAGATTCATTCTTATGATATTCTTATCTGTACTTTCTGTGCATTGATTTAGAGTATTCCTTCACAGGATAATACTATAATGAGCATTCCATTTTATTAGATTGGGGTTATTATCCATTTTTTTCTGTTACAAAAAGTAGATGTCCTTTTCTTGTATGAGTCTCCTGGACATAAGAGTTAGATTTTCTCTAAGGTATAAACCCAACATTCAAATCATTGTGTCAAAAGATTTGTACACTAAGTTAAAATGAACTGTTTTCCGATTTATGCTCCCATTAGAAGTTAAAGGTTCTGATAGATCTATATTCTCAACAATACCTAATAGTATCACAGTTTTTTTTTTTTTTTTTTTTTTGAGACAGAGTCTCGCTCTGTCACCCAGGCTGGAGTACAGTGGCGTGATCTCGGCTCACTGCAAGCTCCGCCTTCTGGTTTCACACCATTCTCCTGCCTCAGCCTCCTAAGTAGCTGGGACCACAGGTGCCTACCACCACGCCTGGCTAAATTTTGTATTTTTGTTAGAGACGGGGTTTCATCGTGTTAGCCAGGTTGGTCTTGATCTCCTGACTTTGTGATCTGCCTGCCTTAGCCTCCAATAATGCTGGGATTACAGGCATGAGCCACCGTGCCTGACCAGTATCACACTTTTTAACATTAGTTAACTTGGTTTGTCATTGGAATTTTAATCTGCATTTTTTAGAAGTACTGAATCAAGAAAAAAATCAAGTAATGAAAAAAATGTTATTTTAGTAAATAAAAATGCTATAAAGACAATAAAGCAAGTGAACGTAGTCAAAAGCGGAGAGGGGCTACTTCATTTTGATAGTCAAAGATGGCCTTGCTGGTCATCTGAGTTGAGAGGTGGCTGGCAAGATGAGAAGAGATGTTAAGTAGCTGTGGAAGGGGCCTGCTGGCACAGGGCATGCTCTAAGGCCCTGAAAAGAGGCAAACATTCTTTCCCTCTAAATACCTGAACTAAGTAAAAACAGTCCTGGCTTTGCACATTTGAATATGCACAGGTTTAATTAACATAGTTTAGTTAAATAGCACTAGTCTCCCAAAAACGTGGTTACAATTTCAGTTACCACAATATGCTAACTGTGAGCAACTACATAAAATCCAAACTTCATTCCCAGCTCTTAATTCCACAAATGCCTATGTGAGTAAATAACAGGCAAGCATCATGATTAGGGACTGTATTAATCTTGTGGGGATGCTGCAACAAAGTATGAAAAGCCGGGTTGCTTAAAACAACAGAAATGTATTGACTCGTAGTTGTGGAGGCTAGAAGTCAGAAATCAATGTGTTGGCAGGTTCACGCTCTCTGCTGGCTCTAGGGGAGAATCCTTCTTCCCCTCTCCTTCCTGTTTGGGTTTGCCAGCCATCCTTGGTGTTGTCTGATCTACAGATATATCACTCTGTTTTCTCTATGTGTCTTCACATCGTCTTTTTTGTGTGTGTGTCTGGAGCTGTATCCAAATTCTCCTTTATTATAAGACATCAGTTAGTCTATTGGATTAGGACCCACCCTAATGACCTCATTTTAACTTGAGAACCTCTGTAAATGTGCTATTTCCAAATAAGATCATATTATTTTGAGATATTGGGGATTAGGATTTCAAACATATCTTTTTAGGGGGACACAATTCACCTCCTTCAAAGCCTGTCAGTGACTGCTCACTGTGCATCTGCTAGTTCGCACACAGACAGCAGAGTCTGCAATCGTGTTGACTCCTTGTCTCCCAGTGAGAAACCCATGTGACATTTATAAATATGAATAATCAGAAGAAAAAACTGGTCAACAACCATTGATGTGCGGCAAAGAAATAAAAAATGTGATAACCCTGGAAGTGTATTCAAATACAATGTAAATGGAATCATAGAATTGGCTCACCACAGGAAACGCAGCAAGAGGAACTTGGCGCAACGCAGTGTTCTGACATAAATGAGGAACGCAGCTGTGATGAAAAGGATGAAGAAGCCCCAGAGGAAGTGATGCCGGCAAAGACAGCAACAAACTTCATATTAAAGGAACTCTTGTAGATATTGCATGACGTTGACAATGTTAGATGCTGTTCCGAAAACAGCACGACAGTTCACCAAGGCATAGAAACACTGCTGGTTCCTTATCATAAGCTATACGACAAGAGGGAGGCAAGCACTGTTCAAACTGGGCTTGATACACGTCTATAAATAAATAAAGCACTTTAATTGGCTGTTGTTTAATGTTTTAAATTACAGTGTAAAAATGAAGTACTCCCAACCAGGCACGGTGGCTCACTCCTGTAATCCCAGCACTTTGGGAGGCTGAGGCGGATAATGAGGTCAGGAGATCAAGATCATCCTGGCTAACACAGTGAAACCCTGTCTGTACTAAAAATAGAAAAAATCAGCCTGGTGTGGTGGCATGCCACAACTACTTGGGAGGCTGAGGCAGAAGAATCGCTTGAACCCAAGAAGTGGAGCTTGCAGTGAGCCGAGATCGTGCCACTGCACTCCAGTCTGGGCGACAGAGCGAGACTCCATCTCAAAAAAAAAAAAGTACTAATTTCACTATGTTTCATTTCCTTATACATTTATAACCAACAGTAAGAGATTTTTAATGTTTTGGCCAAAATTTTTAAATGACACAGAACAGTCGATGTTTCACATGGATTATTTAGGTCACTTTACAGATCTTTAGCTTACATAGTGATTTGTATGGCCCTGCACTGCTGTGCAAAGAGAGGACTGTCTGTGTTCTTAACCAGTAAGAAGGAGGGCAAGAAAGAGGTTCTCAGCCAGATATTGCGTATGTAATAAAATGATGGGAGAGGGAATAGCACTTTAGATATGAAATGTACCCTGTGGGGAAGCTATTTGAACAACAACAACAAAATAGCTTAATTTAACCTGATGGAGTACACTCAGCCACCTTCTAGATGTCCCTGCTTATTCTTCAAATCTTCTCTTTTGTGGCCCCAAAGAATGATTCACTCTCTGGAGTGAAAAATAACCGTTGCTTTCTTTGCCTGGAACTTTAAACTGACTTGTGCTGTATCATCCAAACCTGTTCAATTCTCTCTTTTCTATTACTCAGTGAGGTCCAAAGGAGCCAAAGACAAATCTCTCCTGTTTTTCTTCGAAATGTAAAGATGTTGCATCTGTAACCACAGGCTGCCTTTAATCCTAAAAGTCAGCGTGATAATGAAATCCAGTGATTAATTTCTGTCTTCTAATCAATAAGTAGACATATCAATTTATAGTATGTTAGAAAGCCTCAACTCCACTGAAACAAAAAGCAAGAGGCTCTGCAAATGTTGGAGTGTGCTAAAGGAAAAGCATGGACTGATGTTTGGGGAAAGGTTGGTCAATGTGATGAGGCCATCTGTGTTTGCTAATAGTGCTTATCAAAGTTAGGTTCCTACGCAGAGACAGAGACCAGGAGACAATCCTGTATCCTTCTTGATCCTTATAGTCCAAAGGGATAGCTCCTAAGTCTTTGAGAAAGACATTCTGTGTTATAGGAGATTTAAAGGGACAGAGAAAAGGTTTATAACTACAGGTTTTCTGTTTTTTTTTGTGTTTTTTTTTTTTTTTCTAGACGGAATCTCACTCTGTCACCAAGCTAGAGTGTAGTGGGGCGATCTCGGCTCACTGCAACCTCCGCTTCCCAAGTTCAAGTGATTCTCCTGCCTCAGCCTCCCAAGTAGCTGGGACTACATGTGTGTGTCACCTCGCCCAGCTAATTTTTGTATTTTTAGTAGAGACGGGGTTTCACCATGTTGGCCAGGATGGTCTTGCTCTCTTGACCTCAAGATCCACCCTCCTCAGCCTCCGAAAGTGATGGGATTTGAGCCACCACGCCTGGCCATAATTGCAAGTTTTCTAAAGTTAAGGCTCTTAGAAATGGGAGGTCAGGGGCCTATAGTCAAGTTTTGGGTGGGACAAACAATAAATTCTTTTGGCAGAATTGAATGTTCCCAGGCAGGTGCTTTAGAGGGGTATGGGGCATCGTAGGGACGTGGCTCTGAGCTGATAGAGGCTGTGTTGGAATTTGGCCAAGTCCCTTACTGTATGTATGAGGAGGAGGGATGTGCAGAAGAAGTTGTTTGTGCCAAGAATTTGCAGTTTTCACAGGTTAAGACAGCGGTGCCTGGGATCATCTGCAAGGCATGAGTCAAATGTTGACACAATGATTGTTTGCAGACTCATCTGAGGGCTTAGGCAGATCTGGACCTGTTGATACTGAAGTTTCTGAAGGTAGAGGAAGAAAATATAATGTCTCAATAATATCTGAAGTAGGGGTAGGGAAACAGAGATTTAAGGAGGTGAGATCCCTTCAGGCCTCAGAAAGAAGCTTCACTTCTTGTGCCTCCCTTCAGAATAAATGGGTCATTAAATTAGTTCTTTGTAACTAACCTAGGCATGATGGTGAAGAAGGGAATAGTGAGAGGAAGAACTTTAAATAAGAATGCCTGAGAGATCATACTAGATTAATGGGAGAGAAAGAAATTTCCAAGAAGCTGTCATGGGAAAGGGCTCACGAATAATAATTTAAAAATTAGTTATTGATAATATGAATAAATCAATAAAAATAAATAAAAAGAGATCTGCCAATAGCCACACTTACAGCACCAGATAGATTTTAAATAAATTAAAATTTGAGTTTTTAATGAATTTTCTACAATCCAAAATTTATTTGTTTAATTTTTGCAACGAAACACCATTTCTTTACTTTTTGCAAAAGTAAAACTAAGATGCTACTTGTACTTTTTAAATAAAACTAATTTTAAAGAAAAACATAATTAGCCAGATGTGGTGGCAGGCACCTGTAATCCCAGCTATTGGGGAGGCTGAGGCAGGAGAATTGTGGAGGTTGCAGTGAGCCCAGAAGGCCCCACTGCATCCAGCCTGGGTGACAGAGCGAGACAGTCTCAAGCTTCTTCAGTGCTCACATGTAAACTTCTACTTTCCCCTTCAGATTACAGCAACCATCATGCCAAAGCTATACACTCTCAGGGAATCCCTGTGGATTTCACTGATGACCACTTGACCAACTATCATAAAGATCAAGGCCAGGGGTTCTCAAACTCTCAACATTTGTGTGCTCATCTCCCCTTCACCCAGAGACTCCCCAGGGCTGCTGGGCCACACTTTGTTTTGTTTGACTGGAACATAGTTTGAAAGGGATGGAAATTTCCAAAAGGTGTTAATAGACACATAAAGATTTTTAAATATTAAAAAAAAGAAAAAGAAAGAAAGAAGGAAATGGGCATTTGTGAACTTTGGTCATGAGAACGCAGGCCTCGCAGTACTTAACTACTCCTTCCAAACCCCTGCCCAAAGAGAGGACCAAACTCTAGTGAGGCTTCCAGCAGCACAAGGATGTCCCACAGATGACCCCAGCCCTCCTTAAAATGACTGCCTGAGAAAGCTCACTTGCAAGGAGAATTTACTGTTTGTTTCAGGCAAAACCTGGTGATGGGCAGGTAGAGCCCCGAATCCCCTCTTAGAACCTTAGAAAGCTTGCAATTATAAATCTTTTCTCTGCCTTTGAAGTGTAAATCTACATCCCAGAATTGTCTCCTCAAAGACCTGAGAGCTGTCTCTTTGAAATGCAAACATTCAGGAAGCTAACTCTTGCTCTTGTTGCCAGTTCCTGAGGGAGGGGAAAGGCCTAGCTTTGGCGAGCACCTTGCTCCAGCTTGCACCTCTGACTCTTTTATTGCCATCAAAATCAACATGTAGACTTTTTTCAAACCCAATGACAGCCCATTACAATGGAGGCCATAGCAATGGAGGTCTCTACATGCAACAAAAATGGTGGGACAGTTTCCTGACAACAGTCCAACTTTATTCCAAGGATAAGCATGTCATGAAATTATTGGATGGCAGATTATGCTTATCTATGGTCTTCCTTTTTCTCCTTGGTCTCATCCCAATAACTTACAGATCCTTTAAAGGCAAAGGCCAAATATTCAGCTAAGTTAGGCATACTTTAGATGCCAATATCAATTTTAGCTATATGGGAGATTCTACTTAAGATATTGAGGACGATCATGTGTGTACAGGGCAAAAAAGATGGGACAAAGAGGTAAGGGGATGGGAAATCGCACCCTCCCTCCCCACCACAGACCATGACCTGGGGCAGGTCCTCTAACACCAAGCCCACCCAGGCCCCATCTAACAATATGCCGCATTCTGCATGACCTCAGAGTTCTTTCGGAATTCCAGCTGAAAAGCTGAAAAGCAATACTATATAGCTGTGGTTTCCAGCTGGCCCATGTTAGTATGTATAGCTTTTCTTCCTCACCATGAAAGCACTATGGGAGAACGAAGCCGGATGCTGAGCATGCTTTGCCAGGTGGGTGCTGCTGAATCACAGACCTCAGCGACTGTGTTCCGCCTCCACAGAGGCCGGGGATGTTTGTTTCCCCAGTGTGTTCATATATTTCAGCCAGTGTCTTGCACTTTGCCCTCTCAGTTTGCTTCACTTTCTGGCTCAGTGAACCTGACCTGCAAGTCTCCCTGCAGTTTCCCTCAGCAAGTGCTCACTGGGCAGCCCCAACATGTGAGAAACAGCTGTAGGGTGCACAGAGGTGAACTAAATTACTAAAAACTATTACTTTACTAAAATGCTTCCTGGATTCCAGAACTCACCAACTGGGAGAAAGGTCAGACACACACGGAGACAACTCATCTACACAAATGATCATCAGTGATTTAAAGAAGGTGCAGGAGATCATGGAATAAGAACAAGAAGAGATTACTTTCCAGGGCTCTCAGAAAGTTTCTGAAACGAAGTGCCATTGACCCTGACCTTAGCATTGTGATGGAGACATTACAGAGCTGGTAGGAAGGAGAAGAAGGAATGGCTGGAACACACTTGGGGTGAAATGAGCGGCATTTCAGTGTGGGAGCTGCAGACTCGGTTTTGGTGGAAGAGTTAGGAGCCAGGATCTTGTCAGGAATAATTCTGTGTCCAAGTGCAGAATCGTGGTTTGCTCCATTACTGCCAGTAACTCCATTTCTCAATCATGATGGTGATGCTTTTTTTTGGCTCTCAATCCCAGAGATTGGCCATACTGAAGTCACATTACAACAATTAACTTTTCAACTATTAGATGATTAATTTTTACCAAGTAGCAAGAACAGCTGTTTGGCACGTAGCAGTGTGGCATGAGTATCTTATAAATGAATTAAACAAAATATCTCTCCAGCACACACACAGTCATTCTTGCTGCATGTCAGCCTCCACTTCTCCCTCCATTATTTGATGCCGTGAAGCTGAGGCAGCCAGCTTGAGCGAAAGTTTTCAGATCTCACTCCAACAAAGAGCTTTGATTGATTCACTTAGTATAAGGTGTTTTATCTAGCTAAAGAAATCCAAGCTGAGTTTTATTAATTACTAAGAAAAATATCTGTGCAATAGATTAATCTTTGATCAAAACTATGTGTGAAGTAGAAACATATTACACACATGGAGAGCAATATTATGGAATAAAAACAACCTATGTGTGGCATAATTGACATTGTCTTTATATTTTTGGGGGGGCTGAATACGCAGTCTCGCTCTGTCGCCAGGCTGGAGTGCAGTGGCACGATCTTGGCTCACTGCAATCTCCGCCTCCTGGGTTCAAGCGATTCTCCTGCCTCAGCCTCCTGAGTAGCTGGGATTACAGGTGCATGCTGCCACACCCAGCTGATTTTTGTATTTTTAGTAGAGACAGAGTTTCACCATGTTGTCCAGGATGGCCTCGATCTCCTGACCTCATGATCCTCTCACCTCAGCCTCCCAAACTGCTGAGATTACAGGCATGAACCACCTTGCCTCGCCTATAAATAATTTTTGAAACAGATACAGAATATATAGATAGCTTAACAATTATAAAATTGTATTTATCAAGTATGTCACGAGGTAAACATTTTACGCTATGCAAAAGGGAGCAAACCTCCGAATTTGTCATGCAGGGTCACTAGTGGAACTCACAGCAACAGGTCTGATAAAGCAGAGGAGGGAACCAGGCTTCCATGTGCTTTAGAGAGAGTGAAACATGAGGAGTCATAGGCAGAGAAAACTGTTTTTCAGAAAGAAAAGAAAGGGGACATGACAGCCCAGCAGTAGGGTGAAGAGGGCCTCTCCGTGGGTGCCACTGGCTTGAGCTGCTGTAAGTGGCTGTGCCTGGAACAGAGGATCTGGATAGGAGAATGGGGAAGGGAGTGCTGGAACCGGGGGTGGGCAGGAGCAGCAGTCTGGAGACCAGAATGACCTAGGGTTTCCTCTCATGCTCCCATTCCTAGTGTTTCACGTGTGTAAAGTAGCAAGCATGCATATACTGCTTAGAGGCATCTACACTTACATACTACACTCATATCCAACACTTGCATCGTACAAAGTACACATAGTAGGTGTGGCATGTAATAAGTTACCCTCTTATATTTTCTTCTAAAAGATTTTTAAATATTTGCATCTCAAATTTAAGTCCTTTGTCCATTTAGATCTGGCCTTTGTGTGATAGGGATCCATTTTTGGGATAGAGATGCATTCTGATATTTTCCCATATGGATACCAATTGCTCATACCATGGATCATATAGACCCTTTCTGACTGTTCTGTAATGTTAGCCAGGGCATACATCAAGATTTCACACAAGCATACACTTTCACAATAGCAATTCCTGCTGTGGTAATTATAACTTCACAGCAAATCTGGTACGAGATAGACTCACATAAGCTCCACCTCCCACCTTCGCACACTTTAGTCTTCTATGGGATTGTCTTAGTTATACTGGGCCCTTTTCTCTTCCATATAAGCTTTGGAAGCAGTTTAGTGACAATGGTACTCTTGTCTTTTTCTTGATTTTAAAAGGAGTGATTTCAATATTTTTAATCACAAAACATGATAGGTGCTGTAGGTTATTTGTCGACTCCTTTTATCAGGTTAAGGAAGTTACCCTTTATTCATAGGTGGAAATATCAATAATTTAATTTTTGTAAATTTTTTTTTTTTTTTTTGAGAGGGATTCTCACTTTGTGGCCCAGGCTGGAGTGCAGTGGCAGGATCTCGGCTCACTGCAAGCTCCGCCTCCCGGATTCACACCATTCTTCTGGCTCAGCCTCCCGAGTAGCTGGGGCTACAGGCGCCCGCCTCCACGTCCAGCTAATTTTTTTTTTTTTTTTTAGTAGAGACAGGGTTTCATTGTGTTAGCCAGGATGGTCTCAATCTCCTGACCTCGTGATCCACCCGCCTCAGCCTCCCAAAGTGCTGGGATTACAGACGTGAGCCACTGTGCCCAGCTGTAAAATAATTTTATAGGCCTTTTGAGACAATCATATAATTTTTGTCTTTAATTTGTTGATAAGGAGATAATTTCAGTAGATTTTCTAACACTGAACTAAATTTGCATTACTAACCGAGCTTGTTCATGGTTTTTATACTTTGCTAGGTATACTTCCTAGTATTTTGTTTACACTATTTGTCTGTGTGCATGGATGAGGTACACCATAGCAAGGTTATCCTAGTATCATATGAATTAAAGAATGGTCTCTTTTTTTTCCCCTCGCAGATTATTAGTGTAACATTGGAACTACTGGTGACATCATCTAGGCATCATGTTTTCTTTGTAGAATTATTAATTATTAACTCAATTACTTTAATGGTATGATTTCCATCTAGATTTTCTAATTATTTGAGTCAACTTTGATATGTTATATGTATCCAAAAATGTGTTAATCTCACTTATTTACAAATGCATATATATGTCTTGTTACTTAATGAAATAGATCATAAATATAAAAGTGTGTGTGTACAGCTTAAGAAGAATATAAAATGAGCATATGCGCCCTTCCTTCAGGTTATGAAATAGAATATTTCCAGTATCTTAGAAACTCCCATTGCCCTTCTTCAATGCCACTCACTCTTTCCACAAGAGGTAACCACTATCCCTAACTTCCTGTTAATCATTCCATTGCTTGTCATTGTAGACTTGCATATTGTTTAGTTTTGCACATGTTTGACTTTTTTAATAAGTGAAACTGTGTATTGTTTCTTGTTTTTTTTTTCTGAGACGGAGTCTCCCTCTGTTGCCCAGGCTGGAGTGCAGTGGCGTGATCTCCGCTTACTGCAAGCTCCGCCTCCCGGGTTCATGCCATTCTCCTGCCTCAGCCTCCCGAGTAGCTGGGACTACAGGTGCCCACCACCACGCCTGGCTAATTTTTTATATTTTTTTTAGTAGAGATGGGGTTTCACCGTGTTAGCCAGGATGGTCTCGATCTCCTGACCTCATGATCTGCCCACCTCGGCCTCCCAAAGTGCTGGGATTACGGGCGTGAGCCACCGTGCCTGGCCAACTATGTATTGTTTCTTGTGATTAGATATGCATACACACAAACATGTGTATGCATATATATATATATATATATATATATATATATACATGTACACACACATTATTTTTTAGAGCAGTTTAAAGTTCACAGCAAAACTGAGCAGAAGGTATAGATTTCCCATATACTCCCTGCCCCCCACACATGCATAGCTTCTCTCATGATAAACGCCCCCCACCAGAGTGCTGCATTTGTTACAATTAATGATACATGATACATCTTATAGTTTGCATTAAGGTTCACACTCAGGCTTGGACAAATTTACAATGACAAGTATTCACTATTAAAATATCATACATGTACTTTCAGGGCCCTACGCATCCTCTGTGCTCTAGTTATTCATTCCTCTCTTCCTCCTAACTCCTGGAAACCACTGATTTTTTTTTTCTATCTCTATAGTTTTACCTTTTCCAGAAAGGTCATATAGTTGGAAGTGACAGTATGTAGCCGTTTTAGATTGGCTTCTTTCACTTTGTAATATGCATATAAGCGTCCTCTGTGTCTTTTCGTGGCTTGACAGCTCTTTTTATTTTTTATTTTATTTATTTTATTTTTTTATTTTTTTTTTAGAGGGAGTCTTGCTCTGTCGCCCAGGCTGGAGGGCAGTGGCGTGATCTCCACTCACTGCAAGCCAAGCTCCACCTCCCGGGTTCACGCCATTCTCCTGCCTCAGCCTCCCGTGTAGCTGGGACTACAGGCACCTGCCACTGCACCTGGCTAAGTTTTTGTATTTTTAGTAGCGACGGGGTTTCACCGTGGTAGCCAGGATGGTCTCTATGTGCTGACCTCGTGATCTGCCTGCCTCGGCCTCCCAAAGTGCTGGGATTACAAGCGTGAGCCATCTCACCCGGCCAACAGCTCATTTATTTTATCATTGAATGATATTCAATTGTCTGGATGTACCACAGTTTGTTAATTCACCTACTGAAGGAAATCTTGCTTGTCTCCAAGTTTTTGCAATTATAAATAAAGCTTCCATAAACATCTGTGTGCAGGTTTCTGTGTGGACATAAGTTTTCAACTCCTTTGGATATATACCAAGAAACAAGATTGCTGGGTCGTATAATAAGAGTAGATTTAGTTTTCTAAGAAGCCACAAAACTGTTCTCCATTTTGTATTTCTATCAGCACTGAATGAGAGCTCCTGTTGCTTCACATCCTCATCAGCATTTGGTGTTGTCAGGGTTCTGGATTTTTGCCATTCTAATACGCATGCAGTAGTATCTCATTGCAGTGCTGTATTTGAGAATGTGAATAGCTGCAGTTCATTCACTCTTAGTGCTGCGAGGTACTCTATTATCGGAATATATGATCATTTAGTTACCCAGTCCACTATCTACCCATATTGAGAGATAACTAGATTGTTTCCAGGTTTTTAAAATTGGGAACATTCTCATATATCTCTAGGTAAACAAACGCAAGAATTTTTCTGGGGCCTGTAACAGGCTGACTAGGTTGCACTAGGTTGTAGTGAAGTCACTGGATCATAAGGTACATTATGATCAGCTGTATGAGCCAGCATCTTTCTGTTTTCCAAATGGCTGTCCTACTTTAGTGTGTGGGATGAATACTTCCATGGTTCTTTATCCGTGCCAATACCACACGTTTCAGAACTTCAAAAAAAAAATTGTCAATATGTGTGAAAGGATATCTAATTGTTAATTTTCATTTTCATGATTATTATGAGGTTGAGCACTTTTTACATGCTTATGGGGTATTTGTGCTAACTTCTCAACAGACATGTTATTTTTCACTTATTTATAGGAGGCATATTCTGGATACCAGACCTTTCTAGGTAAGATGTGTTGCAAATAGCTCTGCCAAGTTTTGGGTATTTTTTTTCACATTGCAGTATCCTTTAATAAACAGAAGTATTAAATTTTTGTGTTATCAAATCAATTTTTCCTCTTTCAGTTTGTTCTTCTTCCCCATGTAAAGATAAAAGATATGGCCGGGCGCGGTGGCTCACGCCTGTAATCTCAGCACTTTGGGAGGCCGAGGTGGGCAGATCACAAGGTCAGGAGATCAAGACCATCCTCGCTACCACGGTGAAACCCTGTCTCTACTAAAAATACAAAAAATTAGTCTAGGCGGGGTGGCGGGCGCCTGTAGTCCCAGCTACTCCGGAGGCTCAAGCAGGAGAATGGCATGAACATGGGAGAGGAGGTGGCTTGCAGTGAGCCGAGACCGCGCCACTGCACTCCAGCCTGGGCAACAGAGTGACTCCATCTCAAAAAAGAAAAAAATAATTATTCCCAGGTTTTTTTCTAAAAATGTTGAGAAGCTATCTTTATCCGTTAAAATATATTTTTATGTTTGTTCTCCAGGATTAAATTTCAATTTCATTTTTTTCCCTTATGGAGATCAGTGGTCCCAGTGTTGCTTATTGTAAAATATACTATCTTCACTTAACAACAATGAAAGCTGTGTTACAAAATCTGTTTCCCAGTATTAGTGCAAAATATATTTCTCTTTATGATTGTACTCAGATTAACTAGTTTGCAGGACTGTGTCCAGAGTTGGTTCCTTCCGGTGGGTTCGTGGTCTCCCTGACTTCAAGAATGCAGCTGTGGACCTTCCTGGTGAGTGTTACAGTTCTTAAAGATGGCACGGAACCAAAAAGTGAGCCTAGGAAGGTTTATTGCTGAGAGCGAAAGAACAAAACTTCCACACTCTGGAAGGTGACCCCACCTGGTTGCTGCTGCTGGTTGCGGGTGGCCAGCTTTTATCCCCTTATTTCTTCCCACCCATGTTGCGTTTCTGTCTTATCAGAGTGCCCTTTTTTCAATCCTCTCCACTATTGACTACTTTTAGAATCCTGCTGATTGGTGTGTTTTACAGAGGCTGATTGGTGCATTTTACAAATTCCTTGTAGGACAGGAAAGTTCCCCAAGTCCGCACTCGACCCAGGAAGTGCAGCTGGCCTAACCTCTCACTGCCAGAGGCTAATTTCCATCCTGGTATTTCTCAGGCCCATAGATAGTGTGAATTCAAATCCAAACCAATATGTCTATTGACTTATACTTAGAAATTACCATTTTTTTTTTCTTTTTTCTTGTCTACCCTATTGAAACCAAGACAAGCATAGATTTTCACTTTCTTCTTATGGGAGTGGGATTTTCCTAGCCCCACTTAACATGCTTCTCTTTAGAAATCCTAGATTTATGCAGGAGGCATTTTAGCCTATATTCCTCCCTGCATGGGCATCAGTCTCTGTCTCCTGAATTAGGTGCTCATGGTTCTGGGCCAATAGTTCCTGGGAGACACCCCAGGGCAAATGCCAGATGAGACACTCACACCTCTGGATTCAAACTTTTTTTGCTCTTGTAGATATCTGAAAATTTGCCTTACTTTGACTCAGCCCATGCATTAAAGCAGATGCTTTTAAATATTTTATGATGCATGTTTTAGGAAAGAGTCTGTCTGGGTATTTCTTCTTTTGATTTGCATTTTGCTTTCAATTCTTCTTTCACACTATCCTAAGCATTAATCAACTCGTCGTTTATGTCAGTTAGTACAAAACTTCACTATCCTGTTCATTATCACCATTTCATTTTGTTCTGCATAGGCCAGACTATTTATCTAAAAATGTTTAAAGAAATCTAAGGCCTTAAAGGATTCTTTCTCAGGGACTCTACTGTTTGTATTTAGAGAAATGCTCATTTGTTCCACTGTTTTACTTTCTTCTTGGGTCACGCTCTTTGATGACTGCCATCTTACAGAGGATGACAAAAGAGGGCCCAGACTGAGACAATGATACCTGCTTGCCCCTTTGGATTTTATTTTCTTAGTGTTCTCAAAATATTAATAAAATGTCAAAAACAAATTAATATCACCAGAATGTGCGCCTCACTTAAAATTTTTCTCTCTAACAAGTTTTTGTTTCCTAGTTCCTTTGGTACCCTAATGTTTAGGTAAATAGTCTCTGAGGAAAGGATGTGAAAGTCATAGCAAAATATATGCTGGACTTGAATGAAAAATATCTGTTTCATAAAAGTTAAGCAGGCAACCAAAATTTACCTTTTTTAACCTAAATTATCTAAACATGTATTTACATTTCTGCTTCATTAAAATATATTTGAGATTGAATGCTCCTGAGACAGATTTTGGAATGCCCTCCCTTTCTAAAATATATTTTTTATTTTTTGTGGACTAAACAGTTATTTAAAAATGAACTTAATGATTGCTAATTAGTTATCTAAATACTTATTTAAAAATAAACTTAATGATTGCTAATTACTCAGTTATTTATAATGCATTTCAAAATTAACTTTATTGTCTAAACCTCTTAACACAAATGTATTAAATTATGTAACAGAGAATTGGCTATTTTTGTTCAAATATCTATTCTTGTCAGACTTAAAATATCACTCAGCTATATGATTAAAAATGAACTACAGTCATTAAATTATTTCCCACTTATTTGTGGCATTTCTCCATATTAGAGGAGACAAACAGTGCTCTTTGAATCTTTTTTTTTTTTTTTTTTTTTTTTTTTTTTTTGAGACGGAGTCTCGCTCTGTCGCCCAGGCCAGACTGCGGACTGCAGTGGCGCAATCTCGGCTCACTGCAAGCTCCCCTTCCCGGGTTCACGCCATTCTCCTGCCTCAGCCTCCCGAGTAGCTGGGACTACAGGCGCCCGCCACCGCGCCCGGCTAATTTTTTGTATTTTTAGTAGAGACGGGGTTTCACCTTGTTAGACAGGATGGTCTCGATCTCCTGACCTCATGATTCACCCGCCTCGGCCTCCCAAAGTGCTGGGATTACAGGCGTGAGCCACCGCACCCGGCCCAGTGCTCTTTGAATCTGATGACAGTTCTATTGATAACGGCCATCAGAATCTAGTTACGCATTATTAATTAGGTCAAGGCATGAATAAAATTTCTCCCTTGTTTCCACTCAAAAACTACAAGTATAGTTCCTTGGTAAGATGCTCCAACCATGGCTGGGTGCGGTGGCTCAAGCCTGTAATCCCAGCACTTTGGGAGGCTGAGGCGGGCAGATCACGAAGTCAGGAGATTGAGACTATCCTGGCTAACACGGTGAAATTCTGTCTCTACTAAAAAATACAAACAATTAGCTGGGCATGGTGGTGTGCACATGTAGTGCCAGCTATTCGGGAGGCTGAGGCAGGAGAATGGTGAGAACCTGGGAGGTGGAGCTTGCAGTCAGCCGAGATCACGCCACTGCACTCCAGCCTGGGCAATACAGTGAGACTCCGTCTCAAAATAAATAAATAAAATAAAATAAAAAATAAAATAAAAAAAAGATGCTCCAACCATGATTGGTGATGCCAATCATAGAAGAAAAGAGAATATTGAGAAATAATAAGACAGCTACTTTAAACCATTCTGTGCCTGAACATTTTGATGGCAATATTGGTCATATTATAAATTTGAAAATATAAATGGTAATCTAAATTGACTTTAGTCTACCAGTGATTATGAGAGCTTTATCTAAGTGAAACACTTACATTTTTATTTCTAACATTTTTCAGAAAATGTGAAACTCCAACCAAGTGCAGTGGCTCATGCCTGTAATCCCAGCTCGTTGGGAGGCCGAGGCAGGTGGATCACAAGGTCAAGAGATCGAGACCATCCTGTCCAATCTGGTGAAACCCCGTCTCTACTAAAAATACAAAAATTAGCTGGGCGTGGTGATGCGCACATGTAGTCCCAGCTACTCGGGAGGCTGAGGCAGGAGAATCGCTTGAACCCGGGAGGTGAAGGTTGCAGTGAGCCAAGATCGTGCCACTGCACTCCAGCCTGGGCAACAGAGCAAGACTCCATCTCAAAAAAAAAAAAAAAAAAAAGAAGAAAAAGAAAATGTGAAGCTCCTTATTATTTTGTTTTAATTTTAAGAATTCCACTTCCTAGATAAGCAGAACATAGAGCCAAGTGCTATGTTCTGGTTGTTTTTAATGAGTATATTTATGTTCTCCCCAATTTATTATTTATTAATGTCTAACTTCAATTAGATGAGTTGATTACTTTTCATACACCATTGACTAAAGGAAACCTAATTTTACACGTAATTCAAGGGGATCTGTAAGTAAGAACATTTTAAAATTAAACCAACACATGTGCATTGAAAATCATTCAAACAGTTTGATGGGCAAAAAACCAGTGAAAACCAGAAACTTTTTTTTTTCCTTCCATAGACCTTGGTCCTGTTTTTCAGAGTTAGGCAAGGTTTATCATTTTCTTTTTTTACTATATGCTATTCTCTTGAACTGTAAATAATATTATACAATCACCTAATTTTGTTTTAACAATTTTAAGTAATATCCCTTGACTTTTTATGAACGGTAGAGAATATAGCTCATTTACCCTACTTTCTTCTTCTAAAACTATATTTCCAATTTAGTCTTTAATATATAATTTTATGGGATTTTTTAAAAATTTGCTTTCTCTAAATAATATACTTACAGTGCTTAATTCTTTGCTTAAATAATATACTGTTTAGATAATATATGGTCCATCCAATTTGAACACCACTGATTGGCTCAGTAGGATGTGGAGATTAGTGTACAACTTCCCTCCCCTCCAACAGTCCCTGTCATAGCTTTCGACTTGTATCAAATTTCGTTCTATGCTTATATTTTCACATTTTATGTAAATTACATCCTATTTTGTAATTATAATAAAGTCTGTGCTTTGTTCGTAGGTTAATTTTGATCATGGAATCTCAAGTGAATTGACAGCATCATTATTATGTTTTCTTTTTTTTTCAAACCACAGTCGCAGGTGGCGTGATTTGATTTGTGTGAAGGCAATGAAATGATACACAGATACACCGAAGCCTCCCAAAAGAATCCTGGTTCCAAGACTCAAGAAGATGGATTAATGTTTTTCCATTAATTGTTGGAATTTATGCCATTTTTTACTATGTGCCATCAATTTTAAAGCACTTCTGAAAAGACATAACAATCTAAATGAGATGGCATTTTAAATTCATAAAAATATAGTATTTTCCTCAACTTTTATACATTTATGATGCATTATTTCTTATTTCCCGGGAATTTTACTACCTTTGTTTTGAATGATTAAAAAGGAAACACAGCACTTTTTTCAGCACATCACCAAGATAGCCTAGTTAATATTCTTCTCTTTCTGAAGTAGTTGAATTGGGATAGACAGCTTGCCAGGCCTGCTGCCACGTGTCAGCATCGCATCCCTACATTCAGCCACACTTGCATCTAACGACCATCTCTTTCATTAAATTTCTTTTGCACCTTTTCTTCCTGAATGAGTGCATGATACTTAATTTTCCTGTGCACTTGCATGTCTCAAGAAGGTTTTAATTCTTTTTGTATTGCATTAATATTAAGTTAAGTTTATAATTGCAAAATGATTTATACTCAGAACATTGAAGACTCCTTTGTTTTGTTACATCCTGTCAAAATGATGAGAAGACAGATCATCCTTTAGGGAAAAATTGGTTTTGATTGGTGTCAGCCTTTCCAACAGCAATGCTGGAGACAAGAATAAAATGAAGTAATATTTTTCAAGGATTAAAAGGAAACCAATTTTAATCCTTGAATTATTTGCAGCCACAATCTTTTAAATATGAAAGCCCAGAAAAAGACATTAAAAAGTAAGGCCTCAAAAGTTTTATTTCAAATAAATCCCTTTGAAAATGCTTAGAGGTCATACTCCACTAAGAAGAGAAATACACCGTGGTGTTAGAATTGAGGGTTCCAGAATCAATGGTAGTGGTGTTTATCATACTCTAAAAAATAAATGAAAACATAACATATTGAAAACAACCCCAAGTAAACTTCAGAAAGCACCCCCTTAGACAAAGTGCTGTCGTAACAGAGAAAGCAAACCAGAGGTGGCAAGAGGAGGCTAGAGCACTTATCTTGTTTGCTGAGATGATATTAATTTTGACACATATCAGAAATTGAGAAAATTAACATAAATAATGATATAACCACCATTACAATGTTAAAAATTTCCAGATTTCAAACAAATAGAAAAAGATTTGATCTATAGAGTGAAAGGTACAATAGGAAAAAATAAACAGTAAAGAAAGTATGAAAAATCATAAAATGAGATGACAGAAATAACTCATAATGGAACAATAATTACATAAATCAAAGGTTAAGATTGTGAGGTAAAATTTTTAAGTGTCAAAAAAACACTCAATAAAACCTATCGAAAATAAATTAGTGTAAAAAATATAGCAGGAAAATATGAATAAAAAGAGCTAGGTCCAATTTTTGATAAAAATTTGAATTCAAGTTAATAATATCCTAAAGAAGGAAAAAATCTGTAGACCAATAGAGAGAAAGGAAAGGCGCATTCAGACAAAGAAAATGTGTACAGAACACACTAGGGATATCAGAAGAGGCTGCTCATGGCCAGGCATGGTGGCTCATACCTGTAATCCCAGCACTATGGGAGGCCAAGGTGGGTGGATCACCTGAGCTCAGGAGTTCAGGACCAGCCTGGGCAGCAAGGGAAACCCCATCTCTACCAAAAATACAAAAAAATTCGCTAGCCATAGTGGCACATGCCTGTGGTTCCCGTTACATGGGAGGCTGAGGTGAGAGGATTGCTTGAGCCCGGGAGACGGAGGTTACAGAGAGCCCAGATTTTGCCACTGCACTCCAGCCTGGGAAAGAATGTGAGACCCAGTCTCAAAGCAAAACAAAACAAAATAAAAAAGAAGCTGCTCAAGACCAGACTGAGCTCCTAGACCTTGAACTCCAGTCCCACCTCACACCCTAAGGTTCCTAAAGAATCAGTAACTTAGTTCACCCTACCGCACTCCTGACTTCTGGATGTAGCACAAGTTTCTAAACTTATGCAAACAGTGAGGACTATCTATTTTGACAAAATAAGAAATGGAGTCAAGGCAACATGTAAAAGATATTTTTGCCAGTTTTATTGATTAACAAAGAAAAATTGTATATAGTTAAGGTATGCAGTGTGATATTTTGATATACATATACATTGTGAAGTGATGATTACCACAATCAAGCTAACATATTCATCACCTCACCTGGTTACCTTTTTATTTGTGTTTGTGTGGTGGAGAACACTTGAGATCTACTCTTTCAGCAAATTTCAAGTATACATTATTATTGACTTTAGTCACTATGCTGTACATTAGATGTGCAGAACTTATTCATCTTATAACTGAAAGTTTGTACTTTCTGACAAACATTTTTTCTTTTCCCCCAACTCCCAGGCCCTAGTAAGCACTATTTTACTCTGTTACCATGAGTTTGACATTTTCTTAGTATGCATATAAGTGAAATCATGCAGGATTTTTTTGCATCTGTTCCTGGCTTATTTTACTTACCATAATAAACTCCAGGTTTATCCATCTCGTTACAAATGGCAGTATTTCCTCATTTCTAAAGGCTAAATGATATTCCATTACATATGTGTGTGTGTCTGTGTGTGTGTGTGTGTGTAATACATTTAAAACATCCATTCATCTGTCAATGGACACAGGTAGTTTCCATACCTTGGCTGTGTAAATAACACTGTAATAAACATGTAAGTATATATATCTCTCTGAGATAGTGATTTTCTTTACTTTGGATATATACCCAGATGTGAGATTGCTGGATTATATGGGAGTTCCATTTTTAATTTTTTGAGGAAACTCCATACTGTTGTCTGTAATGGCTGTACCAATTTACATTCCCATCAACTATCAACTAAGCACAAGGGTTTCTGTTTCTCAATATCCTCAGCAACATTTGTTACCTTTTTACTGTTATAAAAGCCATCCTAATAGATGTGAGGTGATATCTCATTGTGCATTTTCCTGATGATTAGTGATGGCAAACATCTTTTTCTTAATATATACCTATTGTCAATCGTATGTCCTTTAGAAATGTATCTCTTCAGGTCTGATATGCTTTGGCTGCGTCCCCACCCAAATCGCATGTTGAATTGTAGCTCCCATAATTCCCATGTGTTATGGGAGGGACCCAGTAGGAGATAGTTGAATCATGGGAGCGGTTTTCCCCATACTGTTTTTGTGGTAGTAAATAAGCCTCACAAGATCCGATTGTTTTATAAGGGATTTCCTTTTTCACTTGGCTTTCATTCTGTCTTGCCTGCTGCTGTGTAATATGTGCCTTTAGCCTCCCACCATAAGTAAGGCCTCCCCAGCCTCATGGAGCTGTGAGTCCATTAAACCTCTTTTTCTTTATAAATCACACAGTCTTTGGTATGCCTTTATCAGCAGCATGCAAACAGATGAATACAGTAAATTGGTACTGGTAGAGTGGGGTGCTGCTGTAAAGTTATCCAAAAATGTGGAACCAACTTCGGAACTGGGTAACAGGCAGGGGTTGGAACAGTTTGGAGGGCTCAGAAAAAGACAGAAAAATGTGAAAAAGTTTGGAACTCCCTAGAGATTTGTTGACTAGCTTTGACCAAAATGCTAATAATGATATGGACAATGAAATTCAGGCTGAGGTTGTCTCAGATAGTGATGAGGAACTTGTTGGGAACTGGAGTCAAGGAAAATCTTGCTATGCTTTAGCAAAGAGACTGGCAGCATTTTGCCCCTGCCCTGGAGATGTGTGGAACTTTGAACTTGAGGGAGATGATTTAGGGTAGCTGGCAGAATAAGTTTCTAAGCAGCAAAGCACTCAAGAGGTGACTTGGGTGCTGTTAAAAGCATTCAGTTTTAAAAGGAAACAGCATAAAACTTTGGAAAATTTGCAGCCAAACGATGTGATAGAAAAGAAAAACCAATTTTCTGAGGAGAAATTCAAGCCAGCTGCAGAAATTTGCATAAGCAACAAGGACCCAAATGTTCATCACCAAGACAATGGGGAAAATATCTCCAGGACATGTCAGAGACCTTTGCAGCAGTCCCTCCCATTACAGGCCAAGAGGCCTAAAAGGAAAAAATGGTTTCCTGGGCTGGATTCAGGGGCCCCCTGCTGTTTGCCACCTAGTGACTTGATGCCCTGCATCCCAGCTACTCTAGCCATGGCTAAAAGGGTCCAAGGTACAGCTTGGACTGTGGATTCAGGTGGTGCAAGCCCCAAACCTTGGCAGTTTCACATGGTGTTGCGCCTGTGGGTGCACAGAAGTCAAGAATTGAGGTTTGGGAATCTCTGCCTAGATTTCAGAGGATGTATGGAAACTCCTAGATGTCCAGAAAGAATTTTGCTGCAAGGGTGGTGCCCTAATGGAAAACCTCTGCTAGGACAGTGCAGAAGGGAAATATGGGGTTGAAGCCCCCACACAGAGTCCCCACTGAGGTACTGCCTACTGGAGCTGTGAGAAGAAGACCACTGTCCTCCGGACCCCAGAATGGTACAGCCACCAAAAGCTTGATCATGCACACAGGAAGGCTACAGACAATGCCAGTCCATGAAAGCAACCAAGAGGGGGGCTATTTCCTGCAAAGCCACAGGGGTGGAGCTGCCCAAGGCCATGGGAGCCCACCTCTTGCATAAGTGTGACCTGGATGTGAGACATGGAGTCAAAGGAGTTCACTTTGGAGCTTTAAGATTTGACAGGCCTGCTGGATTTTGGACTTGGGGCCTGTAGCCTCTTTGTTTTGGCCAAATTCACCCATTTGGAACAGGTATGTTTACCTGCTCCCTGTACCTCCATTGTATTTGGAAAGTAACTAACTTGCTTTTAACTTTATGAGTTCATAGCTCGAAGGGACTTGCCTTGTCTCAGATAAGACTTTGGACTGTGGACTTTTGAGTTAATATTGAAATTAGTTAAGATGTTGAGGGACTGTTGGGAAGGCATAATTTGTTTTCAAATGTGAAGATATGAAATTTGGGAGGAGCTGGGGCAGAATGATATGATTCAGCTGTGTCCCTACTCCAATCTCCTCTTGAATTGTAGTTCCCATAATTCCCACATGTTGTGGGAGGGACCTGGTGGAAGACAATTGAATCATGGGGGCAGTTTCTCCCATACTGTTCCCATGGTAGTAAATAAGTCTCATGAGATCTGATTGCTTTATAACGGGTTTCCCCTTTTGCTTGGCTTTCATCCTGTCTTGCTGGCTGTCATGTAAGACATGCCTTTCACCTTCCACTGTGATTGTGAGGCCTCCCCAGCTACGTGGAACTGTGAATCCATTAAACCTCTTTTTTTTGGAGATGGAGTCTGGCTCTGTCACCCAGGCTGGAGTGCAGTGGTGTGATCTCTGCTCATTGCAAGCTCCACCTCCAAGGTTCACGCCATTCTTCTGCCTCAGCCTCCCAAGTCACTGGGACTACAGGCACCCACCACCACACCTGGCTAATTTTTTGTATTTTTAATAGAGACAGGATTTCACCATGTTAGCCAGGATGATCTCAATCTCCTGACCTCATGATCTGCCTGCCTCGGCCTCCCAAAGTGCTGGGATTACAGGCGTGAGCCACCGTGTCTGGCCAAACCTTTTTCTTTATAAATTACCCAGTCTCTGGTATGTCTTTATCAGCATCATGAAAACAGACCAATACAAGATCCTTTGGAATGGTCTGAGTTCCTAATTTATTTGGATATTAACTTCTTATCAGATGTATAGTGTGTAAATATTTTCTCCCATTCTTTAGGTTATCTTTTCATTGTATTGGTTGTCTCCTTTGCTGCGCTGAAGCTTTTAGTTTGATTTACTCCCATTTGTCTAGTTTTGCTTTTGTTGTCTATACTTTTGGTATCAAATCTGAAAATGTATTACCAATACCAGTATCAAGGAGCTTTTCTCCGATATTTATATCTAAGAGTCTTACAATATTGGTCCTTTGTTGAGGTCTTTCATCCATTTTGAGACAATTTTTGTATGTACAGTGAGATAAGGGTTCAGTTTCATTCTTCTGCATGTGGATATCCAGTTTTCCCAACACCATTTAATAAAGAGACTAAATTTTATCATTGTGTACTCTTGGCACCAATGCTAGAGATCAATTGATTGTAAAGTCATGGATTTATTTCTTTCTATGCTCTCTATTCTGTTCCCTTGGCCTACATGTCTGTTTTTATGCTAGTAGCATACTATTTTGATTACTACAGCTTTATAATTTAGTTTGGAATAAGGTAATGTGATGCTTCCACTTTTGTTTTTTCTGCTGAAGGATGTTTTGACTGTTTGGGGTCATTTGAGGTTGCATAAAAATTTTAGAACTGCTTTTTTCCATTTCTTTGAAAAATGCCATTGAAATTTTGATGGGGTTGCTTTATATCTATAGATCGCGCTGAGTAATAGGGATATGTATCTTCTTCAAATTCTTTCATCAGTGTTTTATAGTTTTTGGTATATACAAATTTTACTGTCTTATTTAAATTTCTTCCTAAGTAGTTAATTTTTTGATGCTATTGTAAATGAGATTGTGTTCTTTCAGATGGACTCTCACTCTGTCGCCCAGGCTGGAGTGCAGTGGTGTGATCTTGGCTCACTGCAAGCTCTGACTCCCGGGTTCACACCAATCTCCTGCCTCAGCCTCCTGCCACCACGCCCAGCTAATTTTTTGTATTTTTAGTAGAGACAGGGTTTCTCCATGTTAGCCAAGATGGTCTCGATCTCTTGACCTTGTGATCTGCCCACCTCAGACTCCCAAAGTGCTGGGATTACAGGCGTGAGCCACTGTGCCCGGCCCGAGATTGTTTTGTTAATTTCTTTCTGGGATACTCAACTATTAGTATATAAAAACGTAACAGGTTTTTTTTAATGTTAATTATGTGTTCTGCAAATTTGCTTGTTTCTTAATTTTAACAGTTTTTAATTGGAGCCTTTAGAATTTTCTCTATATGAGATCATGTCATCTTCAAATAGAGACACTTTCACTTCTTTTCCAGTTTGGATGCCTTTTATTTCTTTTTCTTACCTAATTGCTCTGGCTAGGACTTACAGACTTTTTCAGAAACCCCCCAAAATAATCTAAGGGAGTCCATTGTCACTAGACCTGCTTTATAAGAAATTCTAAAGGGAGTTCTTCAAACTGAAATGCAATAAGACTAATTAGCATCACGAAAACATATGTAGTTATAAAAAGTCACCAGTAAAAGTAACTATACAGTCAAATTCAAAATATTCCTAATACTGTAATGATGGAGTATAATCACTTTAACTTTTAAAAGGTTAAAAGACAAAAAAATATTACAAATAAATATAACTACAAAATAAACAAAGAAATAAAAGCTGACATCAAAAAAACATAAAAAGTGGAGGGGAGTAAAGTGTAGGGTTTTGTATATGCTTGAAGTTAAGTTGTTATCAACTTAAAATAGACCATTATAACTATAATCATACATTTCTTAATGTGGATATGTTCTGAATAATGCCTCATTATGCAATTTTGTCATGGTGTGAATATCATAGAGTATACTTACACGAAATTAGATAATACCACCTACTACACACCCAGGCTATATGGTATAACCTATTGCTTCCAGGCTACAAATCTGTACAGCATTGTACTATACTGAATGCTATAGGCAATTATAATACAATGATAAGCATTTGTGTATCCAAATGTATCTAAACATATAAAAGATACAATAAAAATGTTATAACCTTACAGGGCCACCGTTGTATATGTGGCCCATCATTGACCAAAACATCCTTATGTGGCACATGAGAGCATATGAAGTTTTATGGAAGCCTCAGGATAATCACAAAGACAAAACATGTAATAGTTACACAAATGAAAATTTTACCACGTTTAAAAAAGAATTAATACAAAGACACAGAAAAGAATCAAAGTATACCACTACAGAAAATAATCAAAATAATCAAATCATGCACAGCAAGAGAGAAATAAAAGAACAAAGAAACTGCAAAATGCCTATCAATAGTTACTTTAAATATCAGTGGACCAAATTAGAAAAGACACAGAGTGGCTGAATGGACAGTAAAACAATAACCAAATATATGCCGCCTATAAGAGATTCACTTCACCTTTAGAGACACACATAGACTGAAAGGAAAGACAGGGAACAAAAAAAAGAAAGAGTAGCTATTCTTACAACAAACAAAATAGACTTTAAGTCAAAAACTGTAACAAGAGGGAAAGAAAGTCATTATAGAATGATACAAGGGTCAATTCATCAAGAGGATATAATTACTACAAATATATATTCTCCCAACATTGGAACACCTAATTGTATAAAGCAAATATTAACAAATCTGAAGAGAGAAGTGACAACAATAATACAATAACAGTTGGGGACTTCCATATCCCACTTTCAACAATGGATTGATCACTCAGACAGATAATCAATAAGGAAACAGATGACTTGAACTACACTATAGATCAAATGGACCAGACATATACGGGACATTACTTTCCAAAACAGCAAAATACACATTCTTCTTGAGCATACACAGTACATTCTCCTACACAGGTCATATATTGGGCCAGAAAACAAGTCTTAGCAAATTTAAGAAGATTGAAATCTTATCAAGTATTCTTTTTGACCACAGTGGCATGAAACTGAAAATTAAAAACAGGAGAAAACTTAGAAAAGTGACAAATATGTGGAAATCAACCAACACACTCCTGAGCAACCAATAGATCAAAGAAAACATCAAAAAAGAAATAAAATATCTTGAGACAAACTAAAATGAAAGCACAACATACTAAAACTTATGAGATGAAGCAAAAGCAATTCTAACAGGGAAGTTTATACAGGTTAAGTGCTAAATGAAGAAAAAAGATCTCAAATAAACAATAAACCTCAAAGAAATAGAAAAGAAAAAAAATGAAGCCCAAAATTAGAAGAAGGAAGGAAATAACAAAGATGATAGCAGAAGTAAATGAAATACACTAGAAAAACAATAGAAAAGATCAATGAAACAAAAAGCTGATTTTTTGAAAACATAATGGCTGGGCGCGGTGGCTCATGCCTGTAATCCCAGCACTTTGGGAGGCGGGCAGATCACGAGGTCAGAGATCAAGACCATCCTGGCTAACATGGTGAAACCCCGCCTCTACTAAATATACAAAAAATTAGCAGAGCCGGGCAGCGTGCGCCTGTAGTCCCAGCTACTTGGGAGGCTGAGGCAGGGGAATGGCATGAACCCAGGAGGCAGAGCTTGCAGTGAGCGGAGATTGCGCCACTGCACTACAGCCTGGGAGACAGAGCCAGACTGAGTCTCAAAAAAATAAAATAAAATAAAATAAAAATAATAAAAATTGAGCAACCTTTCACTAGGCTAAGAAAAAAGAGAGAAGCCTCAAATAAATAAAATTAGAACAAAAAAGCAGATATTAAAATTGGTACCATAGAAATACAAAGGATAATAACAGTCTAAACAACTATGTGTCAACAAATTGTTTAACTTAGAAGAAATAGAGAAATTTCTAGAAACATACATCCCCTAAGATTGAAACATGAAGAAATAGAAAATCAACACAAATAATGAGTAAAAATATTGAGTCAGTGGTCAAAAAGCTCCTGAAAAAGGAAAATCCAAGACCAGATAGCTTAGTGGAGAAGTCTAGCAAATGTTTAAAGAAGAATTAGTACCATTTCTTCACAAACTCTTCCAAAAGTTGAAGAGGAGGGAATACAAACATTTTTTATGAGGCCAGCATTACCCTGATAACAAAGACAGAAAAGATACTACAAGGTTGACAGATATTTTTAAGGTGCAAATGATGTATTGTTGGAATTGAAAATACAGGATTTGTTTGTACAAAGATTTGTGTGTGGATAGGTGGATGCGTACTGGTGTGTGCATGCATACATATACAAGCTTACCTTGTTTTATTGCACTTCACTTTATTATGCTTCTTGGATATTGCATTTTTTACAGGTTGAAGGTTTATGGCAACCCTGCATCAAGCAAGTCTACCAGTGCCACTTTTCTGGTAGCATGTGCTTATTTTGTATCTCTGTGTTACATTTTTGTAATTCTTGCAATATTTCAAATGTTTTGTTATTATTATATCTGTTACGGTAATGTGTGATCAGTGATCATTGATATTACTATTGTCATTGTTTTGGGGCATCACAAACCATGCTCCAAAAGACAATGAGCCTAATTGATACATATGTGTGTCTGAATGGTTCCATCGATCTGCCCTTCCTCCATCCCCCCAACTCCTCAGGTCTCCCTGTTTTCTGAGACACAGGAATATTGAAATTAGGCCAATTAATAACTCTACAAAGGCCTCTATGTGTTCAAGTGAAAGTAAGAGTCACACATCTCTTATTTAAATCAAAAGTGAGAAATGATTAAGGTGAGTGAGGAAGGCATGTTAAAAGCTGAAACAGGCCAAAAACTAGGCATCCTGCACCTAACAGCCAAACTGTGCATGAAAAGAAAAAGTTCTTGAAGGAAATTAAAAGTATTACTCCAATGAACACATGAGTGGTATGAAAGTGAAAGAGACTTATCGCTGATATGGAGAAGGTTTGAGTGGTTTGGATAGAAGATCAAACCAACCACAACATTTCCTTAAGCCAAACCCTAATCGAGAGCAAGGACCTAATTCTTCTTAATTCTCTGAAGGCTGAGAGAGGTTGGGAAGCCACAGAAAAAAAGTTTGAAGCTAGCAGAGATTGGTTCATGAGGTTTAAGGAAAGAAGTCTTCTCCATAAGATAAAAGTGCAAGGAAAAGCAGCAAGTGCTGATGTAGAAGCTGCAGCAAGTCATCCATAAGATCAGCTAAGAGAAGCAACAAAGGTGGCTACACTAAACAAAGCTTTTTATTGCAGATAAAACAGCCTTATATTGGAAGAGGATGTCATCCAGGACTTTTACAGCCAGGTAGCAAAATAAATGCCTGACTTCAATGCTTCAAAGAACAGGATGACTCTTTTGTTAGGGGCTTAAGCTGAAGCCAAAGCTCATCTACCATTCTGAAAATTCTAGGGCCCTTAAGAACTATGCTACATCTACTCTGCCTGTGCTCTATAAATGGGACAAAGCCTGAATGACATCACATCTGTTACGACATGAATATTTTAAGCTCACACCTGAGAACTACTGCTTTAAAAAAAGATCTCTTTCAAAATATTATTGTTCATTGACAATTTACCTGGTCACCCAAGAGCTCTGATGGAGAACTACAAGAAAATTAAAGCTGTTTGCATGCCTGCTAATACAACATCCATTCTGCAGCCCAGGGATCAATGAGTAATTTAGACTTTCAAGGCTGATTATCTGAGAAATACATTTCATAAGGCTGTAGCCACCATGTATAGTAGTTCCTTCGATAGATCTGGGCAAAGTAAGTTGAAAACCTTCTAGAAAGGTTTCACCATTCTAGAAGCATTTGCAATTCATGGGAGGAGGTTAAAATTAAGAACATTTGTGATTCATGGGAGGAGGTTAAAATATCAATATTAAAAGAAATTTGGAAGAAGTTGATTCCAATCCTCATGGATGACTTTGAGGGTTCAAGACTTCAGTGCAAGAAGTAACTGCAGACGTGGTGGAAATGGCAAGAGAACTAAGATTAAAAGATGTGAAGAGAACTTAAGATGTGGCTGAATTGCTGAAATCTCATGACAAAATTTTAACAAATGAGAACTTGGATGAGCAAAGAAAGTGGTTTCTTGAGATGGAAACTACTCCAGGTGTAGATGCTGTGAACCTTGTTGAAATGACAACAGAGTATTTAGAAAATTGCATAAACTTAGTGGATAAAGCAGTGGCAGGGTTTGAGAGGATTGTCTCCGATTTGAAGGAAGCTCTACTGTGGGTAAAATGCTGTCAAACAGCATTGCATGCTACAGAGGAATCTTGAAAGAAATAGTCAACTGATGTAGCAAACTTCATTGTTGTCTTATTTTAAGAAATTGCCACAGCCACCTCACCTCCAGCAGCTTCCACCATGATGAGTCAGCAGCCACAACACTGAGGCAAGGCCACTGACCAGCAAAAAGATCATGATGTTGAAGACTCAGGTGATCGATAGCATTTTTAAACAGTAAAATAATTTTTGACTAAGGTATGTACATTGACTTTTTTATACATAATGGTATTGCCCACTTAATAGACTACAGTATAGTATAGACCTAACTTTTATATGCACTGAGAAACCAAAAATTCTGTGTGATTTGCCTTATTGCCATATTTGTTTTATTGCAGAACTGGCCACCAGAATCTTCCCTTCCCCTAGAACGCCCTTCACCCAAGCCACCTGCATTTTCCCCTCACCCATCATACCCACCCCCATTGTCTGGCCTGCCCTCCACCTCCTCCAAAAGCCTTCATTGCTCCCCCACTGCTGGACTGCATTCTGACTCCGTCTCAATGTGACTCAATGGCACTTCCATTGGGCACTGCCCTAAAGAGCTCATCTCCACAGTGGCCTGAAACCAAACCCACAGTATCTCTGAGGTATGCCTATGTAGCAGTCCCATAAGTTATCGTGCACTTTAAGCATTACCAAGTCCAGAACTGTAAATGCTACACATTTACAGAAATACCACTTGAAGGTTTAACTACTTATAACTGTTTCATAATTAGAATTACAAATTTTGAATATTAATTATTTTAATTGGGGGGAGGGGCCAAGATGGTTGAGTAGAAACAGCTCTACTCTACAGCCCCCACTGAGACAAACATAAACAGCGAGTGAATTCTGCATTTCTAACTGAGGTATCCAGATTCCCTCATTGGGACTGACTAGGCAGTTGGTGTGACCCATGGAGAGCAAGGAAAAGCAGAGTTGGGCGACAGTTCACCCAAGAGCTACACAGGGCAAAGAGACCTCCCTCCTCCAGCCAAGGGAGGCAGTGAGGGATTGTGCTACCCACCCGGAGAACTGTGCTTTACCCACAGATTTTTGCAAACCCCAGAACAGGTAATCCCTTTGTGAGTCCACACCACCAGGGCCTTGGGTCCCAAGCACAAAGCTGTGCAGACCCATAGCAGGGGCTCCAGCTGGCAGCCACTTGGGCAGGTACTGAGCTGTAGGAGTTTCTGCGTACTCTGGTGGCTCGCAGAAATCCAGTGAAGCAGGAGATCCATCAACTCCCATGAGAAGAGGGCTGAAGCCAGGGAGCCAAGCAGACCCACTCCCACAGAACCCCACAAGCTAAGACCCACTGGCATGGAATCCCCACTGGCTAGCACAGCACCTGGAGTCTGCCTAAGAAGACCAAGTTCCTGGGGGGAAGGGTGACCGCCATTACTGCGGGTCTAGCCGGTGGTTTTCCCCCACCAGTGCTAGGGAGACTGGGTGGTTTGCGCTGGGCAGAATTCCCCACAGTGCAGTACAGAGGCTGTGGCAGATATACCATTATTGCATATCCAAAGGAATATAAATCATTCTATTACAAAGATACATGCACGTGTATGTTTATTGCAGCACTGTTCCCAATAGCAAAGACATGGAATCAACCCAATGCCCACCAATGATAGACTGGATAAATAAAATGTGGTACATATACACCATGGAATACTATGCAGCCATAAAAAGGAATGAGATCAAGTCCTTTGCGGGGACATGGATGAAGCTGGAAGCCATTATCCTCAGCAAACTAACACAGGAACAGAAAACCAAATACCACATGTTCTCACTTACAAGTGGGAGCCGAACAATGAGAACATATGGACACTGGGAGGGAAACAACACACCCTGGCACCTGTCGAGGGAGGGCCGGTGGTAGGGAGAGCATCAGGAAAAATAGCTAATGCATGCTGGGTTTAATACCTAAGTGATGGGTTGATAGGTGCAGCAAATCACCATGGTACATATTTGCCTATGTAAGAAAACTGCATGTCCTGCACATGTATCCCGAAAGTTAAAATAAAATAAATACATAAGTACACAAATAAAATTTTAAAAGACAAAAAAAAAAATCTTAATTGTATGTGGGTAGTTCCCTTTGATTGAAAGTGAGATAGAAATAATTTTTTAAAACTTACTATTCAAAATTTGCAAAACTAAATAAGAGTAAAAGAAATTTACATTTTGTCCCTGGATTGATACAAGACAAAAACATAGTGTGGAAAAGCTGGAGTTGAGGATGAACGAGATTCTGAGAATAAAAATCCCTGGTACATAGCCAAAATTTCAGAACTTCAGATTTTCAAGGGCTATAAAATAGGTAACCTCAAGCCACCGTCTCCAACAGATAAAAGGAACCAGGTAATATCTATATTCCAGGGAGAAAGAATAGAAAATTGGCTATCACTGACAAAACTTAGTGGGAAGGAGGGATCTAGAAGGTGGGATGGTGGAGGGATCCCCAGCTTGGGGGGTGGGGAGGGGCTGTGCTTCAGTCTCCCCCTCCCCTGCCCCTCTCCCTCCCTCTCCCCCTCCTGCTGCACCTCCCCCTCCCTCTGCGCCTCCCCCTCCCACTGCCCCTCCCCAACAAAGGAGCCCTTTGTGACATCAAGGCCCCACCTCTGTGACGCAGGCCTGGGCCCCAGTCCCTAGTCCCCACGGGGATGCCCAGAGCTCAGTTGCTTGAAAGCAACGCGCCTATTCACATGGAGAATCTTCCCTTTCCTTTAAAATTACTTAGTGCCTCATCGCTAAACGCCCCCAGTTCCACACCATGGGTGTTGGATATCTTCCTCACTTTGGTGTTTGCCCTGGGGTTCTTCTTCCTATTACTCCCCTACTTATCTTACTTCCGTTGTGATGACCCACCCTCACCATCGCCTGGGAAGAGAAAGGTAAGGAACCCTCAGTCCCAACCCACAGAGCTTGATTCTCTCCTTTCTTTTTATTATTAGTTCCACTTTTCCAAATCCAGTGGAGAGCCTTCTATGATGGGAAGTCTCAGAAGAGACCAGAACATCATCCTTCCAGGGAGAGGCAGGGCAGCCAGGGGTTGGTAGGGGTAGATAGTGTACTGGGATTTCCATCCCAAGCTCTCAGTCCATCTGTGGGGGAGCACAGGAGGCATCAAGGCAAAATCAAACCAGTGGACTCAGCACCAGTACCAGTCATGAGACTGGGGAGGTCTCTGTCCGAGACCAGGCCCTGAGCCCTGGCTCATCAGCCCCTTTCTGGTGCAGGTGGCTCAGGGCCCAGCCTCCCCTGTGTGGGGTGATCTGGGGCCTGTGCTGGGCCCCTGAGGGCCTCCCACCAGGGCCTGGTGTCTCCTCTGGTCTTCTGGGAAGCAGAATCCTACCTGATAGCTCAGCAGTGCCTGCGGGCCTGAACTTGGGTGTTCCTGGAGCAGAGGAACAGGGACTGAAGGTGTCCGTGGTGGACCTCATATTGAAAATCCCTCTGTGTGTGTGTGTGTGTGTGTGTGTGTGTGTGTATTTTTATTTTATTTGTGTGTGTTATTTTTATTTTATTTTATTTTATTTTATTTTATTTTATTTTATTTTATTTTATTTTTTGAGATGGAGTCTCGCTCTGTGGTGCAGGTTGCAGTGAAATGGAGTGATATCGGCTCACTGCAACCTCTGCTTCCTGAGTTCAAGCGATTCTCCTGTCTTAGAGTCCTGAATAGCTGGGGATTACAGGCGCCCACCACCATGCCTGCCTAATTTTTGTATTTTTAGTAGACACGGGGTTTCACCATGGCCAGGCTGGTCTCAAACTCCTGACCTCAGGTGATCAACCCACCTTGGCCTCCCAAAGTGCTTGGATTATAGGCGTGAGCTACCACGCCCAGCCCCCTCTTGCTGTTTTTCTAAGAAGAAAAGCAGTTTATCATCCATTTAAACAAGAGTGGGAGGAAGCACACAGAGCTCCCTGAGCAAGACAGAGAGAGCCATGCGGTTCCTGAGTGCAGCATGCTGCGGCTGGGCTGGGGCAGAGAGGGAGAGCCGGTCCTAGCTTCTCACCCTTTCTTGTCTCCCATTGTCATCTTGTCTCTCTGCGTCATCTTGTCTCCGTACGTCATCGTGTCTCCCAGTGTCCAGTAGGGCGGAGGCGGAGGCCCAGAGGCAGGATGAAAAACCACAGTCTGAGAGGTAAGGCTCTGCCAGAGCACACTAGAGTTAATTTGATCTCATCTGTCCCGAAGGGAACTGACTCTGAAGAAGTCAGTTGAAGAAGCCTGAGGTGGGGGCTCCTAGGAAGGAAATCAGAACCCCGGGTCCTTCTCAGATTCCATGCGGGAATGAAGCCATGGTGGGCCAGGGACTGGGCGTTACCCAGCAGGGGGCAGTGTGTGTGTCCTGGGGAGACCAATGCCTGCCTGGATGCGGAGGGGGGTGAGGGGGCCTCCCGCTCCCTGGGAACAGCTGTCCAACTCTGCTAAGGCTGATTCCTCTTTGAGACCACCTCAGTCCTTTCTCCCCACAGGGCAGTTGTGAGGACTGTGGGGGTGGGGGGTCCGTGTGTGGAAGCCCTTTGTGAATGAAAAAGCCTTGTCCTCCATGCCTTGCTATTAACGTCGGGGTCATGTGGCTTTGGACACAGATGGGTGGGGTCCAGGGTCTAATTCCCCATGGTCCTCCCTAAAGAAACAGCCACTCAGCCTCCTGTGAGAACCCAGGCCCCTCCCTCACTGCCCTAACCCAGTCTCCTGATTTCCAGCTGGTAGAGAGTGCCCGAGAGGCCTGGAGGAGACTTCGGACCTGCTTTCACAACTGCAGAGGTGAGGCACTTCCCCTTCCCTGCATCCTTCCTACCAGGGCTGGGACGTGACCCCAGGGCCACAGGCAGCCTGGAGCTGACCTGGGATGGGGAGACCAGGGGGACAGAGGATGGGAGTAAAACCCTGGGGCGAGGGGTAGCAGGAGAATTGGGCAATCAGGGTGTGGGGTGGTGGAGGGGCTGTGGCCCGAGCACCCACTCTGCCCTCCGGCCCCACCGGCTCCTGGCTGCAGCTCGTGCCTCCTGTCTCCTGCAGCCTCCTGGGGCCACACCTTGACAAAGGTGACTTTGGTCAGCTCTCCGGTCCAGACCCCCCAGGTGAGGTGGGTGAAAGAGCACCTGATGGAGCCTCCCAGTCCTCTCATGAGCCTATGGAAGATGCTGCTCCCATTCTCTCCCCGTTAGCTTCCCCGGATCCTCAAGCCAAGCATCCTCAGGATCTGGCCTCCACCCCATCACCAGGCCCAATGACCACCTCAGTCTCCTCCCTAAGTGCCTCCCAGCCACCAGAACCTTCCCTTCCCCTAGAACACCCCTCACCCGAGCCACCTGCACTTTTCCCTCACCCACCACACACCCCTGATCCTCTGGCCTGCTCTCTGCCTCCTCCAAAAGGCTTCACTGCTCCTCCCCTGCGGGACTCCACACTGATAACTCCATCTCACTGTGACTCAGTGGCATTTCCACTGGGCACCGTCCCTCAAAGCTTGTCTCCACATGAGGATTTGGTGGCTTCTGTCCCAGCCATCTCAGGCCTTGGTGGCTCAAACAGTCATGTTTCTGCCTCCTCCCGGTGGCAGGAGACTGCCAGAACCTCGTGCGCCTTTAACTCATCAGTCCAGCAAGATCATCTTTCCCGCCACCCACCAGAGACCTGTCAGATGGAAGCTGGTAGCCTGTTTTTGCTCAGCTCTGATGGCCAGAATGTCGTGGGGATACAAGTCACAGAAACAGCCAAGGTCAACATTTGGGAAGAAAAAGAAAATGTTGGATCATTTACAAATCGAATGACCCCAGAAAAGCACTTAAATTATTTGCGGAATTTGGCTAAATCATTGGATGCTGAGCAGGACACCACAAACCCAAAACCCTTCTGGAACATGGGAGAGAACTCGAAACAGCTGCCCGGACCTCAGAAGCTCTCAGATCCTAGGCTCTGGCAGGAAAGTTTTTGGAAGAATTATAGCCAGCTTTTCTGGGGCCTCCCCTCTCTGCACAGCGAGTCCCTGGTGGCTAACGCCTGGGTAACTGACAGGTCTTATACTTTACAGTCTCCTCCTTTCTTGTTCAATGAAATGTCCAATGTCTGCCCAATTCAAAGGGAGACTACAATGTCCCCACTGCTTTTCCAGGCCCAGCCCCTGTCCCATCTGGGGCCCGAGTGCCAACCCTTTATTTCATCCACACCCCAATTCCGGCCCACACCTATGGCTCAGGCCGAGGCTCAGGCCCATCTTCAATCTTCTTTCCCAGTCCTATCTCCTGCTTTTCCATCCCTGATTCAGAACACTGGAGTAGCTTGCCCTGCATCGCAGAATAAAGTGCAAGCTCTCTCCCTACCTGAAACTCAGCACCCTGAATGGCCTTTGTTGAGGAGACAACTAGAAGGTAGGTTGGCTTTACCCTCTAGGGTCCAAAAATCTCAGGACGTCTTTAGTGTCTCCACTCCTAACCTTCCCCAGGAAAGTTTGACATCCATTCTGCCTGAGAACTTTCCAGTCAGTCCTGAACTCCGGAGACAACTGGAGCAACACATAAAAAAGTGGATCATCCAACACTGGGGCAACCTGGGAAGGATCCAAGAGTCTCTGGATCTGATGCAGCTTCGGGATGAATCACCAGGGACAAGTCAGGCCAAGGGCAAACCCAGTCCCTGGCAGTCCTCCATGTCCACAGGTGAAAGCAGCAAGGAGGCACAGAAGGTGAAGTTCCAGCTAGAGAGGGACCCGTGCCCACATCTGGGGCAAATTCTGGGTGAGACCCCACAAAATCTATCCAGGGATATGAAAAGCTTCCCACGGAAGGTTCTGGGGGTGACTTCTGAGGAGTTGGAAAGGAACTTGAGGAAGCCCTTGAGGAGTGACTCGGGAAGTGATTTATTAAGATGCACAGAGAGGACTCATATAGAAAACATCCTGAAAGCCCACATGGGCAGGAACTTGGGCCAGACCAACGAGGGCTTGATCCCCGTGTGTGTGCGTCGATCCTGGCTTGCTGTCAACCAGGCTCTTCCCGTGTCCAACACCCATGTGAAAACCAGCAATCTAGCAGCCCCGAAAAGTGGGAAAGCCTGTGTGAACACAGCCCAGGTGCTTTCCTTCCTCGAGCCGTGTACTCAGCAGGGGTTGGGAGCCCATATTGTGAGGTTTTGGGCCAAACACAGGTGGGGTCTACCCCTCAGGGTCCTCAAGCCCATTCAGTGCTTTAAACTGGAAAAGGTTTCATCCTTGTCCCTTACACAGCTTGCTGGTCCCTCCTCAGCCACCTGTGAATCTGGGGCTGGCTCAGAAGTTGAGGTGGACATGTTCCTTAGAAAGCCACCAATGGCAAGTCTGAGAAAGCAGGTGCTGACCAAAGCATCTGATCACATGCCAGAGAGTCTTCTGGCCTCCTCACCTGCATGGAAGCAGTTCCAGAGGGCACCGCGAGGAATCCCATCTTGGAATGATCATGAACCCTTGAAGCCTCCTCCAGCTGGACAGGAGGGCAGGTGGCCATCTAAGCCCCTCACGTACAGCCTCACAGGCAGCATCCAGCAGAGCAGGAGCTTAGGAGCCCAATCTTCAAAGGCTGGAGAGACAAGGGAGGCAGTGCCACAATGCAGAGTCCCCTTGGAAACCTGTATGCTGGCAAACCTCCAAGCCACAAGTGAGGATGTGCATGGTTTCGAGGCTCCAGGGACCAGCAAAAGCTCTCTACACCCTAGAGTGTCTGTCTCCCAAGATCCAAGAAAGCTGTGTCTTATGGAGGAGGTTGTTAATGAATTTGAGCCTGGAATGGCCACAAAGTCAGAGACCCAGCCTCAAGTTTGTGCCGCTGTTGTGCTCCTTCCAGATGGGCAAGCATCTGTTGTGCCCCACGCTTCAGAGAATTTGGTTTCTCAAGTGCCCCAGGGCCATCTCCAGAGCATGCCTACTGGGAACATGCGGGCTTCCCAGGAGCTACATGACCTCATGGCAGCCAGAAGGAGCAAACTGGTGCACGAGGAGCCCAGAAACCCAAACTGTCAAGGCTCATGCAAGAGCCAAAGGCCAATGTTTCCCCCTATTCACAAGAGTGAGAAGTCTAGGAAACCCAACTTAGAAAAACATGAAGAAAGGCTTGAAGGATTGAGGACTCCTCAACTTACCCCAGTCAGGAAAACAGAAGACACCCATCAGGATGAAGGCGTCCAGCTACTGCCATCAAAGAAACAGCCTCCTTCAGTAAGCCCCTTTGGAGAAAACATCAAGCAAATTTTTCAGTGGATTTTTTCAAAGAAAAAAAGCAAGCCAGCACCAGTCACTGCTGAGAGCCAAAAAACAGTAAAAAACAGATCACGTGTGTACAGCAGCAGTGCTGAAGCTCAGGGTCTCATGACGGCAGTTGGACAAATGCTGGACGAGAAAATGTCACTTTGCCATGCGCGCCATGCCTCGAAGGTAAATCAGCACAAACAGAAGTTTCAAGCCCCAGTCTGTGGGTTTCCCTGCAACCACAGGCACCTCTTCTACTCAGAACACGGCAGAATACTGAGCTATGCAGCCAGCAGTCAACAAGCCACTCTCAAGAGCCAGGGTTGTCCCAACAGAGACAGACAAATCAGAAATCAACAGCCCTTGAAAAGTGTGCGGTGCAACAATGAGCAATGGGGCCTGCGACATCCCCAAATCTTGCACCCCAAGAAAGCTGTATCCCCAGTCAGTCCCCCTCAGCACTGGCCGAAGACATCCGGTGCCTCTAGCCACCATCACCACTGTCCAAGGCACTGTCTTCTTTGGGAAGGTATCTGATTTGGTCAGTCACAAATTCTTTTTTAGCCTTCCCTGGAGAAAAACAAGTCCCCAAGAAAAAATTCACTCTATGTAGAGAAAAAATATTTTCTCTCATGTTAGTACATGCAGAACATTTAATATTCCACAATATATATGGTTTTTTATTCATAAGAGGGTGATGGCTTTTATTTGTGCCATGCTTGGTGTGGGCTTGGTTTCCAGAAGCGACAGGACATGGAGGGATGTTGACAGTGGTGCTGTAAGCCCACCTTCATCCTGAGTTCCTTCACTGAACCTTATGTTTCCGTAATACCGTCTTTACACAAACAACAAAAAATTCTAAAAACAAGATGAGAAAAACCTATGAAGGTCCCACTCTGAAATAAGGTTCAACCCATCTTTCCACTACTTACTCTACCTCAAACTTCATGCAGCTGTAGGGAGAAGGTTTGCAGAGATGTCACGGGACTGAACATCTCCATGCAGGCTCCAGGAAGTGCCACAGCCGAGTACCTTCATGTGTCACAAAATAGTGGAAGTTTGGGTGGGAGAGTGCTGGGCCCTGAGTTTAGAAGTGGGAGAAGTCTTGACCCTGGGTATCCTGGTGGAGAATAGATAACGTCTGCCCCTGGGAAGCCCCTTCTCTCCCTGACAAAGGCTGGGATGGAGATGGGCTCTCTTAGCTCAGCCAACATGCAAAGCAGAGAGTCCCCATCCCACTGCCTCTCCCTTTCTCGCACTCTGGAGTGGCAGTGGGGACAGACCTTCCAGCTCTGTGCATGTGTAGGTGGGGGCTAGGGGGTCAGGGGGGCAGCCTTCATGGAGGTTGCTGAGGGCCGTGAACTCCCCTGCCCCAGATGAGTGAATGACCCTGCTCCTGGGTCACCGGCCTTTGTCTATCTCACCTACATGTCTCTCAGCTTCAGCGAAGTAGTTCTGGGTGAATGGAGTAGGGTATGCCTGTGTGTGCAGAGGCTTCTGATGGTGGGACTCTGTAGAGCTACAGGGGATGCAGACAGAGAATTGAAAAGGTGGCAAAGTGGCGTGTGTGAGGGAGCCATCAGTGGTGCCGTGAGCCAGGAGACTCTGACATTCCAACCCCTTAGACAGGCCTAGAGGGGCCTAGTGTCTCATCCTGGCCACACCCCAGGGTCTGTCTCTGCTCCAGCTCCCAGATCACAGACCCCTAGAAAAACCACATTTACCCCCAACACAGAGGGCCATATTAGTGAGAAGGCAAAGTGAATAAGGAAGATGAATTTCTTAACATCTTCGATAAGCTTGCACATAATAATCTATTGAACTTTTTTTTTTTTTGAGACAGAGTTTCACTGTTTTGCCCAGGCTGGAGGGAAGTAGTGCAATCTTGGCTCACTGCAAACTCCGGCCCCTGGGTTCAAGCGATTCTTCTGCCTCAGCCTCCCAAGTGGCTGAGATGATAGGCACCCACCACCATGCCCGACTAATTTTTATATTTTTAGTAGAGACGGGGTTTTGCTATGTTGGCCAGGCTGGCCTCGAACTCCTTGCCTCAGGTGATCTACTGGCCTCAGCCTCCCAAAGAGCTAGGATTACAGGCATGAGCCATGGCGCCTGGCCTACCTATTGAATTTTTTAAAGGATGTGTTGACAATAGGTGGAAAAGCAAGGACTAGAGAACCCCAGGCATGAGTCGAAGTCTGGTGACCTTTAATATACACGTAGCCCCAGGACTGCTCCCTGGGGAAAGGTGGCGACTTACAAGGGCCCAGCAGCTGAGCTGGGGTCACACAGCAAATCTCCCCTGGCTCCTGACATCCTTGCTTGTCCCAGAGACCAGCAAGGGAAGATGCAGGCAGGCAGGATTTGAACATACAAGGGAGCTGGAAGTGACCTGTCCAGAATGGGCAGGGTATGGGCAGGACAGGAGCCATCCCTGCTGTCTCCCTCTGCTTTCAGCACAGCTTTCCTCCTCTCTGGGCCCTGTCCATATGGGAAAGCAGGAGGTCTCCACAAATCATGGACAGGAGGAGCCAGGTCTCTAGAGGGAGTTTTCTCTGCCTTGTGCCACATACAGGCGTGCAAGAGGCCCACTTCCAGGGGCCTCATTTCAATGGTGGAGAGGCCAGTGCCAGGCAGTGCCACTGATCTAGATGACAATGGAAATGGCCCTGCCCCCAACATGTGGGACTGGCCGGCACCGGGGTGCAGGGGGCAGTGGGCACAGTCCCCAGCCTGTGGCTTCTCCTGGGGCCAGGTCCTCTCTGGGGCCCGGATAACTGAAGCAGCCTCCAAGGTGGGCCCAGCGGTGACAGCGGAGCCAGGATCAGCAGGAGGAGCTGGGACCTGGAGCAGAGAGCAGCCCCGGTCCTCCGGGAGCTCAGGAGAGTGTGGCACAGAGCTGGGACCCTGACCACTGAGGATGGGCCATGCCTGGCTGCTGCTGGGTTCCCTCAGGAAACCAAGACGCGAGTTCTGGGATGTGGAGGAGCTGGACGTGGAGCCCATGGCTCAGGCCAGGAGAAGCGCCACAGGCAACGCTGAGAGACCAGCAAGAACACAGGAAACAACAACCCCTTAGCCCTTCTGCAGCTCAGTCTCCCATGACATGCAGCGAGGCCAGCAATGGAGAGACCCACGGAGACCTCCCACAGGAACCTCACAGAGATATCTCATACAGAGTGAGCACACGGGGACCTCTCACTGCCACAGAGAGAGACACACTGCAGCCTCCACAGAGACCCCACGGAGCTCTCAGAGTCCTCATGGTGCCCCACAGAGACCTAGCACAGAGATTCCCAGAGTCCTCACCCAGAGAACCCCACAGAGGCCACGCTGAGAGACTTCACTCAGTCCCACAGAGACCTCCCGCAAATGTCAGAGACCTTCCATGGTTCTCACAGGGAGATCTCACACAGAGACCCCACAAAGACCTCAGAGACTTCACACAGAGTCATAAAACAGGGACCTCATGCAGAGACTCATGCAGCTCACTGCAACCTCCGGCCTCCAGCCCCAGAAATGGCACACGGCACCCCCCACTGCCTCACAGAGACCTCTCTCAGAGTCCTCCTCACACAGAGACCTTGCCTGGAGACCTCCCACTCTCCACAGAGACCTTGTATAGATTCCTCACACAGGCCTCAGGTTGCTCCACACTCATTGCCCAGAAACCTCTCACATAGAATTCCCTCAAACATTCCACACAGAGATTCTGTAGGGCTTTCACAGGGTCCTCACACAGGGTCCTCACACAGGGACTTCATATAGTCCATGGTCCCTCACACAGAGACCTAGCACGGAGATTTCACACAGGGACTTCCCACAGAGACCCCACAGAGACCTCTGGAAGATACCTCCCACACAGACCTTCTGCAAAGGCCTCATACAGAGGCCTCACAAGAGGCAATGGAGCCCTCTTGCTGCCCCATGGAGTCCTCCCACAGAGACCTCATGTGGCCTCACAGGCCTCGTACAGAAACTGACTCGGATTTCTTAGAGACTTTCCACACAGAACTCACGCATTCTGCGTGCTCCACAGAGACCTCACTCAGAGTTCTCACCAGGAGCCTGGCACTGAGGCCTCCCATGCAGCGCTCACACAGCGTCCTCACCATAGGTGAGATGCCCCTCACAGATACTCCTCAGAGATCTGGCCCAGAGGCTTCACAGAGACCTCACATCCATCCATTCTTTAGGTGCCTGAGCAGCCACCTGTTGACACATCCTTCTCAGTGGATATAAAACCACTCAGCACAGTAGCAGCACAGCCGGGATATCAGTTGCACTCCCCAGGAACCCTGGGACACCCAGATACTGTCAGCATTGCAGTGAAGGCGGTTTTCTGCTTGGGGACATCCTCACACTTTTTTTTTTTTTTTTTGTAATAGCGCTGCCTCTGAAAAGAATTATGGATTCCACAGGCAGACCTGCAAAATTCTTTCTTCCACAGGTTTCCATTAGCTTGAATTCTGACCCACAATTTAGAAAATTCATTTTTTTAAATTATTTTTTGAGATGGAGTCTTGCTCTGTCGCCCAGGCTGGAGTCCAGTGGGATAATCTTGGCTCACTGCAACCTCCACCTCTGGAGTTCAAGAGATTCTCCTGCTTCAGCCTCCTGAGTAGCTGGGATTATAGGTGTGCACTACCATGCTCGGCTAATTTTTGTATTTTTAGTAGAGACAGGGTTTCACCATGTTGGCCAGCTGGACTCGAACTCCTGACCTCAGGTGATCCACCCGCCTCGGCCTCCCAAAGTGCTGAGATTATAGGCATGAGCCACTGTGCCCAACCAAAAATTTTTAAGTGAAGAAAATGTTACCAACCTTCAATGAAAGAAAATATCTTATTTGTTCAGTTTGTTATTATCCAGCCAAATTACATCAATGTCATATATTTTTTAAAGTTTGGGGGAGACAAGACTTGAATTTGAGATGCCTGACTTCTGTACTTTGAAAATATGATAAAAACCTCTAGAAAATGAACCCCAGAAATGAAACAAACCAGCAAAGAGGCATCTGGACTCACACTGGTCTCCCAGGGGACTGTGCAACTAGCACATAATTTCATACAGAACAGCTTGGATCACGTTTGCAGAGTTCATTTTATTTTTAGCAAGCTAATAATCATGCAAAGATTTTTCACAAATAGGTCAAATCTCTAGCAATATTCTTATTGTATCACTTGGAAAAATTATACTTCTTAATAATATTATTTTATTCCTTAAAATGCAGTAATGCCCTCAAATAGTAGTATGACACATGTTTGTCAGACATGACTTAGTCCTAATGTTCCACAAACATAGCTTAAGCAGATGGGCAATTTAAAAGGATTTATTTTTTAAACAGTTCTATGAAACACGCATTCTCTAAGATGGGCAGTAGGGATCCATTTTATATTCATTACAGGGCTAAAAAAGGAATGTTTTGAAATCTTACAAAACAAATTAATCTATGCTTGAGATATATACATAGCCTAATAAAATGTATTGAGGAAGGGACACGTTAACATTTGAGTGGAAGAAGGTATACATTTAATCAGCATTTGTACAATAAAAATGAATTATGAATGGCCTCACTAATTATATACGCAGCACTTTCCAAAGGGTGCACTCTGGTAAGACTACTTACTTCTCATTGCTCATAAGCAAACTGTTGTCCTTGCCTTGGTAAAATCTATTTTAACAATAGCTGTTAAAGCATATCACTAGATTATCCAACGGGATGACAGGGTCACAGTCTTTTCTCTAAGAGAGGCATAGCTGACATCAAGGCTCTTTTAGCCTATTTGTTTCAACAAGAAATCCCCTTTCTATATTCATCATAATTAAAAAATTTTAACTTAATTTTTCCACTTCCTTATAATGTCACTGCATCGTAAAATAATGGAATCGACATGGATCTTCAGATTATACATATACATATATATATAGTTTTGTTTTTGTTGTTTTTTTTTTTTTTTTTTTGAGACAGAGTCTTGCTCTGTCACCCAGGCTGGAGTGCAGTGGCGTGATCTTGGCTCACTGCAAGCTCAGCCTCCTGGGTTCACACCGTTCTCCTGCCTCAGCCTCCTGAATAGCTGGGACTACAGGCGCCAGCAACCAATGACTGGCTAATTTTTTTGTATTTTTTTTTTTAGTAGAGAGAGGGTTTCACTGTGTTAGCCCGGATGGTCTGGATCTCTTGACCACGTGATCCACCCTCCTCGGCCTCCCAAAGTGCTGGGATTACAGGCATGGGCCACCGCGCTTGGCCTATAGTTTTTTTCAACAGCGCAACTTAAATAAGTTTAGGTATCAGAACAAAATAGAGTCAATTAGAAAAAAAAATTCATACAGAAAAATATACTTTTCAAGTTGACTGTTTTAACAGAGTTAAAATAAGTGATTATACTTCAGTCATTTGATTTAAATTTGCTCAGAGTGGCCAGAAAATCTAGAAACATAGAAAATGTCCATACTAAATAGTTGATTGCTATGACACGTTGAATGTGCTGTTCCTCAATAGTAATTCATAGTTCAGTAATCTACGCAAAATTGCAATGAACAATGTGCATTAAAGCAACATTTCCATCAATCAGTGTATATTCATCTGCCATATATTGCCTCAGATGATTTGAGTGTCTAATTTCACAGAATAAATTTGAGCCTTTACCCCAGAAGAAATAATCAACGGGGCTCAATCTATTAAAAAGATATTGACAATATTTCCAGGCTCTATTAACATCTATATTTTATTTTTAATTAGATTCACCTAATTCAAAGCTTGTAAATATTTTTACCATTTATATGTGCCCAGATGAAATGGATATCAATAATTAGATAATGGAGAAAACAACAAACACAGATCTTCTTTGTTGTTAAAATATTTTACGTCAGAGCACTTTGCTAGAAATAAAGTAATTTTTAATCTCCAGGCAAAAGACTGTCTAAATGACATTCAGAATGTATTACAAATTTAGATTTAGAATAGATTTATGTTTAAAACAGGCCTCATACTGCTTTCAACAAATCGGGCACTACAGAACAGAATGTGGGGAGGGTGACAATGATGTGATGACTTCTTAACACTGAGCAAAGAAGCAAAAAACAAGTTGTCTTTCTACAATGTTGATCCCTAAGAGTGATTTCCCTTTATAGATTGCAATATAATTCCAGTTGCATTGTTATTATTTTACAAAGAACTCCCACAGAAAAAACTTTCTGGAGGTTTTCCCCTATATACACACCTACATTCTCTGCCATGCTCACACCGTTGGCAAAGTATGGTGCATCCAGCCACAGACCATCAAGGGGCTTGATAATTGCCTCCTCCATATACCTTCTGAGGTCGGTCAGGTTTATAACCATTCGTGTAACACAATTCATCCTTATAACTGGGCCTATGGCCTTGTGGCTTGTCACCTTTTCCAAGCAGGTGCTTGTCATCTTGGTTGCTCAGAGGTTTGCTGTGGCATCTTCCCTCACCTGAGGCCGCGCTGGCCTCCACCATGTTGCAACCAGAAGAGCCCACTTCCGTGGGGACAGAGCTTCCGTGCTCTCCACAGCCACGTCACGCTGCCGCTGTGCAAATGATGCCAACTGTAAATCCCAGAAAACTGCAAAATAATGCTGCGCCAGGCACAGTCGGTGAGGATTTAGAGGATGCTAACGTCTTTCCTAAGAAACGTGGGTGACATCGGCCAGGCACGGTGGCTCACGCCTGTAATCTCAGCACCTTGGGAGGTCGAGGCGGGCAGATCACGAGATCAGGGGATCGAGACCATCCTGGCTAACACGGTGAAACCCCCTCTCTACTAAAAATACAAAAAAATTAGCCGGACATGGTGGGGGCGCCTGTGGTCCCAGCTACTCGGGAGCCTGAGGCAGGAGAATGACGTGACCCCAGGAGGCGGAGCTGGCAGTGAGCCGAGATCGCGCCACTGCACTCCAGCCTGGGAGACAGAGCGAGACTGCGAGACTCTGTCTCAAAAAAAAAGAAGAAAAAGAAAGAAAGAAAGAAAAGTGGGTGACATCACTCTGGTTCTAATCATTTTCGTGCTTCAGCTGCCCCCACTGGATCAGTGTTTCTGGTGAAACGCAATCAGTTTTCGGAGGGCCTCACCCTCCTTCACTGTAATGATGTTTGCAGTTCTTTCTTTCTCCTCTATGCCGAAAATCCAGAATTACCACCCCCTGTTCCCCATGGTTCACAATCTCAAACACGTTTCTCCAGTGACCACTTCAATTCACACAGCCATCCCTCAGTTCAAATATTGCCTTTGAACATCATGAGCAAGACCACGGCTCTTTGTATTTCTGCCACAGTTTCACACCAGTTACAGATTATATACATTCTTCACGTCAATAAGTTTATTTTGTAGAGTGTGGTTTCTGGAGTCAGATGAACTCTCCACCTACTAGGTCTGTTACTTGGGCAAGTCATTTCTTGCCTAGATTTACCAATTTGTTAGAGTTATATTACTTTACTCCAAAAGATTTTATTCTGTGAATTACATTGCTTTTCTTATTTTTTAAAAATTGTAAATCTAGGGATTTAGGCTTGGTTGTTTTTTTAAATATCAGTACTTATCTAAACAAATATTTGAAAATTTTTCTTTTTTCTTTACGTATATTAGAAATCTGGCCAGGCACGGTGGCTCATGCCTGTAATCCCAGCACTTTGGGAGGCCAAGGTGGGCGGATCACCTGAGGTCAGCAGTTTGAGACCAGCCTGGCCAACATGGCAAAACCCCGTCTCTACTAAAAATACAAAAAAATTAGCCGGGCGTGATGGCAGGCACCTGTGATCCCAGCAACTTGGGAGGCTGAGGCAGGAGAATCACTTGAACTGAGGAGGCAGAGGTTGCAGTGAGCTGAGATTGTGCCACTGCACTCCCGCCTGGGCAACAGAGTGAGACCCCATCTCAAAAATAAAAAAAAAAGAAAGAAATCTGTTAACAGCCTTGCTATGAAGACATTTTTGTCTGTTTCTTTTACTTTGTGTACTTATTTAATATTAAAACCTGTATTATTGCTCAGCAAAGAGGAGAATAGTTTCCTTGAAGGAAAAAAAACATCCTTAAGAACTTACTAGTTTAAAGCTGAGCATCTTAGATTTGAAGGTTGCCTTACCTTTTTAAAGATTTTTTTTATGAGTTGATAGAAAGTCCTAAAATCTTAGGAACAGAAACAATTGAGAATTACAAGTCAAATCATTGAAATGGAGCCATCTGACAGTTTATGTGTTCTGCTGTGCCAGTAGTGAGTGGGAACAGTTTCTATGTGGGAATATAATCAGGGTCCTGACTACCCCTAAAGGAGCTCTTTCTTGTTTGGTGTGAAGCCAATACACCAAACCGAGAGTGAGTATCAAACAGTGTGGGCTTTTTTCAATGGCCATGGAATTGCAGAAGTGGGAGCATAGCCTGCAAATCAACTTCTCAGAGCCTGAGAACTGAGGATTCTTAATGAAGGGGCTGGGTATACAGAGGAAAGGGAGAAATATTCATAGCTTTTCTTGGGAAGGGAGGTAGGTTTTTTTGGAATCAAAGAGCCACCTCTTTTCTGCCTGTTTTTGGTCTCTTCTGGCCATTGTCATGGTGATTGTCAACTGTCAAGGTGCCAGTGGGAGTGTCATTTAGCATGGAAATTGGATCATAATGAAGCTAGAGGTTTTTCAGAGGTCAAGCTGCCATTGCGGATTTTGCCAGCTTCAGCCAGTTTAGTCCTAAGAAGGAACTTCTGACCCCAGACATCCTGTTTTCTAAAACTAAGCAGTTAAAGCTGAATGGGAATTTAGCTCTGTCACATAGGCATTTGTTGGGCAACAAAAGCAGGGTAGGGCTCCAGCTAAGCCACGTAGGCACTACGATGGGCAACAGAAAGGTTGGTTTCTGGGCAATTCAGAGAAACCAAGGACAGCTACCCCCAGAACTCAGAGTAGCCAACTGGGCTGCTCACAGGAGATGCCTTAACTGAAAGGTGATCAGACTCCACAGGAGACCCAGAGAAGATGTGGAGGGAGCTCAGAGGCTGTCCTGGAGGAGACGTGGAGACAGCTCAGAGGCTGTCCCAGAGAAGACGTGGAAAGAGCTCAGAGGCTGTCCCAGAGAAGACGTGGAGAGCTCAGAGGATGTCCCAGAGAAGACGTGGAGAGAGTTCAGAGGCTGTCCCGGAGAAGACGTGGAAAGAGCTCAGAAACTCAGAGACTGTCCCGGAGAAGACATGGAAACAGCTCAGAGGCTGTCTGCAAGAAGACGTGCAGAGAGTTCAGAGGCTGTCCCGGAGAAGACATGGAGAGAGCTCAAAGGCTGTCCACAAGAAGATGTGGAGAGAGTTCAGAGGCTGTCGTTACTGCTGCACTTGGCTGTTTTTCTTTGGATAATTATTGCAATCAATTTTAGTAATTCAGGTGTTAAATCACAGTCAAGCACCTATTTACCTAGTGGTGAGTTCCTTTATGTTGTGAGTTCAATGTCATTTGTGGGGACTGTGGTCCAGGGAGGTGTTGGGAGGATGAAGTTTTTTCTGAGTGACTTTGCAAACATAAAAAGTCATCTAATAAAGATGCTAGAAAAGCAAATATCCTAACTTCCTAGTCAGAAAAATGTCCAACACCATGTTTATTTAAGAATTTTTCACAAAAAAAAACAGTGGTGGGAGAAAATTACACATCTGGGCCCAGCAAGTAAGACTTTCCCTTCACAATTGTGCTGTGGGATCCCAGGCCTCGGGGGGCTACTGCCGTCACCGTCCCCAGGCTGTGGGCCCCTTTGTCAGCTGCTCTTCTGAAGGCAGGTCTCCTGTCCATGCCTTCCCCTTTGCTGTCCGGATGGAGATTGGAGACGCAGCATCATATACAGCTGACAGGTGTTAACCTTATTAGCTAATTCTGTTTCACGGGACACGATTTATACACTCCATGGAAATGCTTCTCACTGCCTTTTTTTACCACTTCAAGGTAGAAGTAGGTAATAGTGCTAAAGTCATCTTACTAGAATAACAAAGTCCATGGTTTGTTGTCCCTAAAAATATTTGTATTAGTTTACTAGGGCTGCCATAACAAAATACCACAGACTGAGTGGCTTAAGTAACATAAATTTCTTTTTTTCTTTCTTTCTTTCTTTGTTTATTTATTATTATTATACTTTAAGTTTTAGGGTACATGTGCACAATGTGCAGGTTAGTTACATATGTATACCTGTGCCATGCTGGTATGCTGCACCCACTAACTCGTCATCTAGCATTAGGTATATCTCCCAATGCTATCCCTCCCCCCTCCCCCCACCCCACAACAGTCCCCAGAGTGTGATGTTCCCCTTCCTGTGTCCATGTGTTCTCATTGTTCAATTCCCACCTATGAGTGAGAATATGCGGTGTTTGGTTTTTTGTTCTTGTGATAGTTTACTGAGAATGATGATTTCCAATTTCATCCATGTCCCTACAAAGGACATGAACTCATCATTTTTAAGAAAATGTGGCACATATACACCATGGAATACTATGCAGCCATAAAAAATTTCTTTTCTCACAGTTTTGGAGGCTGGAAGTCCAAGGTCAAGGAATCAGCACATTTGGTCTCTTCTGAGGCCTCTCTCTTTTCCCTTGCCAATGGCCACCTTCTTACTGTGTCCTCACATGATTGTCCTGTGGTCTGTGTGTGGTCTCTGTCCACATCTCCTTGTCTTACAAGGAAATCAGTCTTACTGATTAGGGCCCACCCATATAACCTAATTTTACCTCAATTACCTCTTTATAGGTCCTCTTTCCAAATACAGCCCCATTCTGAGGTACTAGAGGTGAGGACTTCAACATAAATTTGAGGCAACACAATTCTGTCCATGACAATTGTCCACCTTAGTTTTATGGTGAACCAAGGCTGTGAAAAAGACTTGACTTGGGGCCGGGCATGGTGGCTCACGCCTGTAATCCCTACACTTTAGGAGGCCAAGGTGGGTGCATAACCCAAGGTCAGGAGTTCAAGACCAGCCTGGCCAACATGATGAAACCCCATCTCTACTAAAAATACAAAAAGAATGAGCTGGGCTTGGTGGCGGGTGCCTGTAATCCCAGCTACTCAGGTGGCTGAGACGGGAGAATTGCTTGAACCCGGGAAGCGAAGGTTGCAGTGAGCCGAGACTGCACCATTGCACTCAAGCCTGGACAACAAGAGCGAAATTCTGTCTAAAAAAAAAAAAAAAAAAAAGACTTGACTGAAGGCAGTGACCTAAGAGTGAAGCGATAACAGCTGGCAACTGTTCCGCAAGAAGGTGCAAAGCCCCTGCAGGCCTGGGAAGGTGCAGAGCCTGCACCTCAGATTTGACTCCTCTCATAGAATCATGGAATTTAAGTGAACCTCTTCCAGTATTAGGGAATCTTGAATGGAAACTCTAATATCTTAATCCCCAGTGTAACAAACTTTTACTACATTGTTCTCATGATGACAAATGTCTCATCAGAAAATGGCTTAAAAGTATAATTATTATGAAAGCAGACTGGCTTATTTAAAACAAACATAATCTGAAAACTGTAATCCAAAAAGTAGACATCCATATATATATATATATATATATATATATATATATATATATATATTCATTCATTCTCTTTGCTTTGAAACTTTCACTGAATGACCTTTGCCCATTTTATCGGTCACCATATTTTAGTGGTGCTGTGCAGTGACTTTTGTAGAGTAATATCTCTCAAAGTGTGCAATGATCAATATTGTGTTGTCAAAAGATTCTGTAGTCAAAGAAGTTTGGAAAACTTTAATTTTTTGATTAAGCAAAGCAAGAAGTCTGAGTTTCATTTATTGGTTTACTATGAAAAGTGTTAGAGGCTTTATGATGTGCAAGAAGGACATGTGTCATAATATTTCTCAAACCTATTTGACTTCCAATACTTGCTTTTTTGTTTTTTCTTCTTTTGTGGAGAAATTTCAAAAACTTTGGAAAATACTTTTTAAGTGAGATTCAGGAGTTTGATAAGCAAGATGACAAATACTAAAAATATACACTCCAAATATAGACACAATGAATACTAAATAAACTCACTGTTTTTAGTCAACATTATTCAAGGATATCCAAAGTTTTTCATGGCATAAAATGCTCTTTTTCTTTTCAGTAATATGATACATGTGATATTCCTGGAAACTTAAAAAAAAAAATCATCATTTATGTGCTCTCTTGTCAGTTTCATGCTGTATTTTTGATGTAGAAGAAAGAATTTGGTATCTTCTCAGGAATACATTGTCACATAAAAATATGTAAACTCCTTCAGATAAATTCTCACCTTCTGCAGAATGAGTCAAACAGCAGGGGGAGAAGCTGAATCTAGTGTTCGCAGTGAGTGACCTGTCTTCCTCAACACTGTCATCTCATCCATTGTCTTGGATGCTCAAGAAACGGAACTATATAAATGTGGCTTCTGGCCTTCATATATTACAGTGCCAAAGCTTCAAAGAACCAGTTTTTATTTAATACTTACTTTGTTTCTTTGCATTTTTTTTCAAAAATACAATATGTTGTTATTAACTATAGTGACCATGTTGTGCGGTAGATCTCTTCTTGAATATTTCCCCTCTCCTAAATGAAATTTTGAATCCTTTGATAAACATCCCCACTCCCCACCCCAAGTCCAGCTCCTGGTAACCACCAGTCTACTCTCTACTTCTATGAGTTTAGCTTTTTCAGATTCGACATAAAAGTGAAATCATATGGTCTTTCTGTGCCTGGCTTGTTTCATTTAACATAATGTCCTCCAGGTTCATCCACGTTGTCACAAATAATAAGATTTCATTATTTTTTATGGCTGAATAGTATTTCATTGTGTATATATACTACTTTTTAAAATTCATTCATCCACTGATGGACACTTACATTGTTTCCACATCTTGGGCTAATATATAAATAAGATTTAATGTATATGGTGTTGCAGATATCTCTTCGACATACGGATTTCATTTCCTTTGGATATATACCCAGTAGTGGGATTGCTGGTTCATATGGTAGTTCATTTTTAATTTTTGAAGGAACCTCCATGCTATTTTCCATGATGCCTTTCCTTCAAGTCTTCTCCAACACTTGTTATATTTTGTCATTTTATAATAACCATCCTAACACGTATGGGGTGATATCTCAAAGTGTTTTTAATTTGCCTTTCTCTAATGATTAGTAATATTGAGCATTTTTTATATGCCTGTTGGCCTGTATGTCTTCTTTTGAAAAATGTCTATTTGGATCATTTGTCCATTTCTTATTGAGTTATTTTTGGTTGTCTCTTCACTCTGCTAGCACCTATTTTGTATAAGACAATAATGCTCTTACATTTTCAAAATATACAGAAGATAAAAAACATATAGTAAGTATGATACTTGAATTGTAGTGAGACATTTAAAATTTTCCAGGAAACAATTACTGTGTTTTATGGTTATAAGGAAGAAACATGTACATCATTTTGGGGAAGAAAAAGAGAAATTATGGAGTGATAAGTTTAAATTGAGAAAATATCAACAAATACAATATACGAGAGAGGCTCTAGGCATTTCATTTACAAAAATATTGTCCAGTTTTTGTATGTGTGATGTGTGCTTGTTCCCTCTTTCCATATCTATCTCTGTCTGTCTTTCTGCTATGGTTTGAATGTATCCTCCAAAAGTTCATAGATTGGAAACTTAATCCCTCTTCCCTCATGAATAGATTTATGTCAGTCCTGCCCTCATGAATGGATTAATGTCACTAGCATAGTAGTGGGTTCCTTATCATAAGCCCTTTTGCTCTTGCTCTCTCACTATGTGATGCCCCCTGCCATGTTGTTAGGCAGCAAGAAGGCCTTCTCCAGAGGCCAGCATCATGCTCTTGGCATTCCTAGGCCTCAGAGCTAAATACATTTATTTTCTTTATAAATCACTCAGTCTGTGGTATTCTGTTATAGCAACAAAAATATTAAGACACTCTTCCTATTTCCCCTACTCTCCTTCCTCCAGCCTCTTTCTTACACACAAAATGTTACTGAAATACCAGGAGTTCAATCTAGGTTCTGTTACTTGCACACAGAAAGCCAATCACTGAGACAATGAATATTGCCAAGGAAGAAGGCTTTAATTGCATGCTACAGCTAAGGATATGGGATATCAGTCTCAATTCCATCTCCTCAACCAGCCGAAATTAGGGGATTATATAGCAAGGAAGAAATGTAACTATGAGCAGGAAAACAGGAACTAGGGAGGGCTAAGGAAGCAATCATGACAAATAAGGAATCTGGCATCTGGCATCTCATTGTCTCGACACAGTGGTCTGATGAATTTCACTTCTTTGATACTTTTTGAGAGAGCTGAGAGTCCATTTCCTGAGGAAGAAACTCAGAGAAAACAAATGTAAGTTTCAAGCTTCAAGACCAGAAGGATTTGTTTCTATGTTTATATTTTTAAAATCTGTCTGTGGATCTATTGGGTGCATTTCAAAAACACATACAGAGGAAATCCCAGGCGCTGTGCTAGAATTGGGAATACAATGGTGAGTTCAAAGAGGAATAATTTTCCTATTCTCATGAAGTTAATAGTATAGGATAGAGAAAGCAAACACTAATCAAAGAACCACACAAGCATAAGATTGCAACTACAACTAAAAACCATAACCATTCAGTTAAGCTAAGGAGGCCACCATTGTCACCCTTCTCTTAACCTTTAATAATGTATTTTACAGGTAAAATCCTTAAGTAAGTCATATTTGGTTGGGAAGATCAAAGAAATCACCCAGTCTCCCACATCCGAAATTGTGCAGTCTGGACTGTCAGGAACAAAAGTGAAAGAGAGACGTCATCAAGGCCGGGCGCGGTGGCTCATGCCTGTAATCCCAGCACTTTGGAAGGCCAAGGAGGGCGGATCATGAGGTCAGGAGTTCAAGACCAGCCTGGCCAATATGGTGAAACCCTGTCTGTCTCTACTAAAAATAAAAAAATTAGCCAGGCGTGGTGGCAGGCACCTGTAATCCCAGCTACTTGGGAGGCTGAGGCAGAAGAATCACTTGAACCTGAGAGGCAGAGGTTGCAATAAGCCAAGATTGTGCCATTGCACTCCAGCCTGGGAGACAAAGCGAGACTCCATCTCAAAAAAAAAAAAAAAAAAAAGAATGACTAAAATTAAGAAGATTGATGATTCCAAATATTGGTAAAGATGTAGAACAACTAGAACTCCCACATATTGCTGATGAAAATGAAGAATAATACATTACTTTGGAAAATACTTTGGTACTGATTTACCATATGACCCCAAAATCTCACTTGTAGAAATTTATACAGGAAAAATGAAAACATATGCTCACAGAAAGCTTGTATACACATGCTTATGGCAATAAATTTATTTATAGTTGCCTATCAACAAGTGATGAACAAATATATTTTAGTATCTTGATACTACTTTCTAGCTAGAAAAGGAATACTACTAAGCAAAAATAGAGGATGAAGTAGTAATATACATAACATATATGAATTTAAAAACACCATGCTGATTGAAAGAAAACAATTATCAAATACACAGTGTAATATTCTATTCACAGAAAGTTTGAAAACAAAAAACTATAGTCTCTGAAAGAAAACCATTGGTTGCAGGAAGGTGGGGATTCATTGGCCACAAAAGGGACTGAGGAAACTTTTTATGGGTAATGGAAATATTTTATATCTTGATGGTGGCACCAATTATACAACTGTATGTACACATTTGTCAAAATTCTAATCGTATTATACACAACATGAGTGACTTTAACTGTCTATAAATTATATCTCAATAAAATTGGTCTTAAAAGATATATATATACACACACATAATTTAATATGTATTTTATATATATCTCTCTCTCTCTCGACAATGGAGTGAAATGTACTCTTTTTTTTTTTTTTTTTGAGACGGAGTCTCGCTCTGTCGCCCAGGCTGGAGTGCAGTGGCGCGATCTCAGCTCACTGCAAGCTCCCAGGTTCACGCCATTCTCCTGCCTCAGCCTCCTGAGTAGCTGGGACTACAGGCGCCCACCATCACGCCCAGCTAATTTTGTTTTTGTATTTTTAGTAGAGATGGGGTTTCACCATGTTAGCCAGGATGGTCTTGATCTCCTGACCTCGTGATCGCCTGCCTCAGCTTCCCAAAGTGCTGGGATTACAGGTGTGAGCCACCGCTCCCGGCCTGTGAAGTGTATTCTTGTGATTAAATTGTCACTTAGCAAACATCCAGAATGCTAAATATCCATATTATTTCTCTTGTTTTGCCTTTCTCTCACTTTTTCTACAAGCACCATTTTGAAGAAAGCCTCATCAACTTTATTAATTATATTTGTGATCATTTGAAGACACAGAAAATTTTCTTCTGCAAAATATAAAGTCTTCTTTCATCTGCTCTCGTGATCCTTTTATTCTTCTGCCAAGTGATGTACATTAATTGATCAACTGAGTTATGCATGCATTTACTTTTTCACAGATCTTTGTTATGCCTGTACTAGTTCTATGCTAGGGATATGGTATGACACTGAACAGGATCAATATGGTCCCTGCTTTCACAGAGCCCACACCTAATGTGTGGATAGTCAGAACACAGTTACACAAACACAAGTGGGAAATAATTATAACATCTGATAGATCTGAAGTCAGTAGAAAAGGTATTGAAATGGAGAAATAGAAAGGGGCCTCGCTTTGATAATGAAATCAGAGACAGTTTCCCTGCAACTTCCTTAGAGGGCAAAAGCCATGTCCTTTCCTTCTCCTACCCCACCACTGACCCCAATAAAATACCGAGCACAGAATTTTCACTCAATAAATTACCTTAAAATGGATTTCAAAATATTTATAAAGCACATTTGTGTCCATTAAAGTATGAAAGGACATGTATTTGGAGCATAAAACCCAGCACAGGATGGAAACATCACATAAATGAGGATCAAGAATCTAATTATGTAATGGGAAAATTTAAAAGAAATGTCAAGCTGGATAGAGTGTATTCTAAGCAAATGAATACATGTATAATAGCTAAATATTTGGCATTTGAGTTTGGGATGAAAAAATAGATGTAAAAGAAACAGTTTCCTTAATTAAGAATTTAATTTTGTGGGGCCGGGTGCGGTGGCTCACACCTGTAATCCCAGCACTTTGGGAGGCCAAGGCGGGCACATCACGAAGTCAGGAGATTGAGACCATCCTGGCTAACATGGCGAAACCCCGTCTCTACTAAAAAATACTAAAAATTAGCCAGGCGTGGTGGGGGGCACCTGTAGTCCCAGCTACTTGGGAGGCTGAGGCAGGAGAATGGTGTGAACCTGGGAGGCAGAGCTTGCAGTGAGCCGAGATCACACCACTACACTCCAGTCTGGGTGACAGAGCAAGACTCCGTCTCAAAAAAAAATAAAAATTAATTTTGTCCTTTGGAAGGAGAGAAAGAAAAGGCAGTTCACCTAGACCATCACTTGCCTTTTTTAGTTGCAGCAAATGCCAGTTTTTAACCGGATATGTTTGCAATGTGTGAGTTCTTCTCCAAGTGTTAGCTAGGATGAGCTTCCATACACTGCACCCCCAGCTGTGGTAATGCTTTACTCATAGCCTGTCTCTCATCCATCTACCTGAATTCCTGCAGAACACAGTTGGACCAGCAGCTCATATTTAATCCTCTCATATGATATTAACACCACTGGTCTCCATTTTTGATTTACATCTTAAAGCCTCCAGGCTGTAATTGTTTTACCACTGTATTTCATTATTTAACATTCACTACTTTTATGGAAAAAAATGTGTTTACTCCTGTATCTCATCTTAATGTTTCACTAACTGCTAAACTTACATTTTTTATTCATTTGCATTGTTTCGAGAATCTAGATTGTATTTGTCTTTGGAAACAGTCACAGCCACTTCCAGAGGTCATTTCCCATAGACCCCAAACTTCTCTTCTCCCAGCCTTGGAGGTGCTGGGTTCTAGAAGGAGGAGGCAGTGAGTCCAGAAGCCCAGCCATATCAGGATGACATCTACCATGCATCAGTCCTCGTGTGTCTTCAGCACCTCTTTCACATGTCTGTGTCCTTAGAGCTTGCTGGAACCATCTTTGCTTGTCTCTGTGTATTCTGAGTCTGTGACTATTTGGCTCTAGGAGTCTTCTCAACAAAGTACAATTTCTGTTGTCTTTTTCCAAAAGACTTTATGAATAAAATGAAAATATGAGTAATATAAAATCAAAATATATTTTGATTTCTCATTTCAAAATTATCTACCTCTGTAGTTTAATAGAACTCAATTATTGGCCCCAGAAGATAATTTTTTTCCCTAAAGTATTTTCTAAATAATAACCAGTAGTTGACCTACGTCCTTTATATATGTCACATAGAAGATCTCCACAGTACATTCTTCAAATTCAGCTCAGATAATCCATGGAATGCTCAAGTTCCCTGTAACAAATTGAGCTCCTATATCTCTGTGGACTTATAATTGACTAATAAAAGTAAGACTGGTTTGCTAATGATAAAGATAATTTGTAAAAAATAAATCATTTTAGTTTGACCATGAGACACACACATCCATTATCATTAAATGTGAAAATCTAGAATATATCCAGTTAATGGTCAAGTATCAACTTTATGTCCCACACTTGCCATGTAGAAGCTAAGCTTTTAAAATGCAAAATTATTTTCTACTTTTCTGTTATATGCATATATTATAAATGACAAGTATTTTAAATACTGGATTTTTTTAAAAATTGCTTTATTTTCTTCTGTTTTGACAAAAGTTGGCTTTCAAGTTTAATTAAGTTAAAAAAAACGAACAACAAAAATGTATTCCAATGGGAGACAGATAAAGCATCTTTCTTATCTAAAATACAGGACCAGGCGCAGTGGCTCATGCCTGTAATCCCAGTACTTTGGGAGGCCGAGGCAGGTGAATCACCTGAGGTCAGGAGTTCGAGACCAGCCTGACCAACATGTCTCTACTAAAAATACAAAATTAGCCGGATGTGTTGGTCCATGCCTATAATCCCAGCTACTCGGGAAGCTGAGGCAGGAGAATCACTTGAACCCAGGAGGCGGAGGTTGCAGTGAGCCAAGATCATACCATTGCACTCCAGCCTGGGCAACAAGACTGAAACTCTGTCTTAAAATAATAATAATAAAATAAAATATATATTTATATATGGTATATGAATTTGATACATTTTGCTTTATTTCAGGACTAATGTAATGCTACAGAAAAGGAATGACTCTAAACTCGCTTAATTTCTCCTGACTATAAATAGCCCTTGACCACTTTCAACTTTCCCACTGATAACTCTATAACATAGGGCAAGTTACTTGACCTCACTGAGCCTATTTTGCCATCTATAAATCAGCTAATAGGACCTAACTTATAGGTTTGCTGAGAGGTATAAGTAAGACAATAGAGTCTAGCATATGGTGGGGCTCAACAAATATTAGTACATTACTTACACTTTTTTTTTCACCCTGCTATGCCTTTCAGTTTATTTCTACTAAACTCTAAGTTATTAAAATACAGGCTGAAGTATTATTAATTTCCCTCTGTGTTCTCCCCGGTTCCTATCACAGTGCCAGGGACACACAGGCCCCATAATCCTTCATGGTCAATTGAACTGACAGTGAACTATGTCTTCGTCCATTTGGGATGCTACAACAAAATACCATAGACCGGGTGACTTATAAACCACAGAAATGTGTTTCTTATCGTTCTGGAGGCTGGGAAGTCCAAGATCACGGCATTGTCAGATTCAGTGTCTGGTGAAGGCCTGCTTTCTGGTTCATAGATGGGTGCTTTCTTGCTGTGTCCTCATGTGGTGATAGGGGCAAGCCAGTGCTCCTAGTCTCTTTGATAAGAGCACTAATCCCATTTCCCAGGGCCCATCATGACTGAATCACTTCTCAGCAATTCTCCCTTCTAATCTCATCACTTTGGGGGCTAGGATTTCAACATATGAATTTGTGTGGGGGGCACAAACATTGAATCCATTGCAATGAACATCAAAGGATGGTACAGTGGTTAGTGTTTATGTATCATGGCCTACCTAATAATTTTATGTCTTGGTTGCTGAAAATAAAACAAATAAAAGCTTTCATTTACATGCTTTTTTAGCACACCTTTTCTGGAAAAAAATCTCTACTTTAGTGCTGGTTTGTGTGGCTCATAATACATCTATGGCCATTAAAATCCAATAGAACTCCAGAGTGAGGAAGCACATTGCTGTCTTTCTCTATGGTGTTTTCCAGGCAGGGTCAGATTGCCAGGATATCATCAGACATTTTTTGGTAGACAGTGAGGGGAGGGGGTGGAGAGGGTGCAGTTTATTATACGTAAATTATACCTCAATAAAGCTGGTACTTCTTTTAAAATTTGCCATAATTCTTTATATTATAAAGATATAAAGAAATTTTTGCACTGTCTCTCAAGTTTGTCCAGAGGATAAAATCAGAGGCATATAACAATATAAAATATTATTCAAAGATCAAACATTTAACCAAACTTTAATACTAGAGAAAGATGGGCAGGTATAAGCATGAGCAATGGGAAAATGAGAAAGAGCAGGAGAAGGAAATGTTACTGAAGCAAAGTCAGAGATTGCCTGCTTAAAAAAGTTTTAAAAGCTAATTTACGGAGATGGCTTCTTTCCTTAAACCTCACGAACCAACCTCTACTACCTTCCAACTTTTCTTCTTCAGCTTCCTCACCTCTCTCAGCCTTCATAGAACTGAAGAGAGTTAGGGCCTTCCTCTGGATTAGGCTTTGGTTTAAGGGAATGTTGTGGCTGGTTTGATTTTCTGTCCAGAGCACTCAAACTTTCTCCATATCAGCAATAAGGCTGTTTCACTTTCTCATCACTTGTGTGTTTACTGGAGTAGCACTTTTAATTTCCTCCAGGAACATTCTCTTTGCATGCACAGCTTGGCCAACTGTTTGGTGAAAGAGGCCTAGCTTCCCGTCTATCTTGGTTTCCAGGATGCCTTCCTCACTCAGCTCAATCATTTCTAGCTTTTGACTTAAAGTGAGAAATACGTGATTCGTCCTTTCATTTGAACACTTAGAGGCGATTGTAGGATTACTAATTGGCCTAATTTCAATACTGTTCTGTTTCAGGGAATACAGAGGCCTGAAGAGAGGAAAAAAGAGATGGGGGATGGTCGGTGGAGCGGTCAGAATACACACATTTACTGGCAAGTTTGTCATCTTATATTGGCACAGTCGTGGCACCCCAAAACAGTTACAATAGTAACATCAAAGATTACTGATCACAGATCACATAACAGACATAATAATACAAATTTAAAATATTGCAAGAGTTACCAGATGTGATACAGTGACACAAAGTGAGCACATGCTATTGGAGAAAATGGTGCTGATAGACTTGCTCAATGCAGGGTTGCCACATGCCTTCAATTTATAAAAAATGCAGTATCTGAGAAGTGCAGTAAAGCAAAGCACAATAAAATCAGGTATGAGGCTGGGCATGGTGGCTCATGCCTGTAATCCCAACACTTTGGGAGGCTGAGGCAGGCAGATCACCTCAGGTCAGAAGTTCAACCAGCCTGACCAACATGCAGAAACCCAGTCTCTACTAAAAATACAAAATTAGCCGGGTGTGGTGATGCATGCCTGTAATCCCAGCTACTCGGGAGGCTGAGGCAGGAAAATCGCTTGAACCCAGGAGGGGGAGGTTGCGGTGAGCCGAGATCTTGCCATTGCACTCCAGCCTGGGCTACAAGAGCAAAACTCCATCTCAAAAAAAAAAAAAAAAAAAAAAAGAAACTAGAAAAGAAAATAAAACCAACAGTAAGCAGAAGAAAGGAAGGAAAAAGCATCAGTGTAGAAATCAATGCAATAGAAAACAGGAAAAATCATTTACAGGAAATAAATGAAACCAAACTCTGTCTCTTTGAGAAGGTCCATAGTATTGATAAACTTCTATTCAGGCTTATCAGGAAAAAAAGAGAGAATACAAAAACAACCTATCAGGAATAAGAGAAGTAACATAACAACAGATTCAACAGATGCTGAAGAGATAATAAATGGTAATTATGAACAACATTGTGCCAACAGATTTGACAACTTAGATGAAGTGGACAAATTTCTCCAAAGACACAATTATCTAGTCTTACTCAAAAACAAACAGACAGAATAGCCCGGTATCTATTAAAGAAATTGAAGCTGTAATTTAAAACCTTTCCACAAAGACTCCAATGCTAGGTCTAAATGGCTTCAGTGAAGAATTCTACCAAACATTTACTTTCTAGGAATAAAGGAATGTTGCTTATACATGATTTTACCAATGGTCTCATGAAAATTGTGTGGAGGACTGTGGCTATAAACACAATGGTTTGAATTTTATGTAAATTCATAGCTTTTTATTGTTATTTTTAAATACAGAAAAGTTCTGAAGATAGTAATTTTATTTGCCAGTTTTTTGGAAACTTTATATCTGAGGAAGATCTGCTGGAAGATGTCATTTGGGGTAATGCAAAATATTTCTGGAAGACACAAGTAAAATGGGCCCTCATTGACCAAGTAGTTTGTATAGATGTAGTGATTAAACTATTAAGTAGAGGGGAGGTTGCAAAAATATTTGACAAAATGAAATGTGTGCCTGCAGTGCAAAACCACTGATCCTGCTCACAAACAGGCATAGTGAGAAAGATTTCTATATGCCTGGTAGAACAACCTCTGTGGGCCATCTTAAGCACTGGTGATTAACACTTTTATGCATTCTATTACATCTGAATTTCACCACTTAACATGATACTTAAGCTGAATTAAAATGCCTTAATACTCTTGCCTTAATATTCTTCCAAGGTTTAGCACCTGGTCCTTTTAATAAAAAAAAAAAATAGGTTATGGTTACGTTTTTTTGAAAAGGTACTCAAATATGACAACTTTATTGTTTCTAGATATACACCCCTTTGTACTGAAAATTGTAAAAATAGCATGAAGTTTCCTCTTATTGCAATCCAAATTTTTGAAAGCCAGTAAATCTAATTATTATGCTCTAGACAACTTACCTAATGCTTTGTTTATCCACAAGTAACTTTGCTTCAATTTCTTGATGTTGGGTTTCATCTCACTGACTTTGGGCTTCTAAATGGGAATATTTACGTCCTCTTCGCTTCTTTGGGTCAAATCAAACAGTAGAGCTAAAGTTATTCAAATACATTCAAACTACACAGACCCCTTATAAATTACTAGTATCATGGTAGGAAGGAAAATATATAAGAAGAAAAATACATCCTGGAACTCATTATCAAAATTATTGGTGTATAGTCTATACTAGCATAGAGTAGCTTTCTCAACCTGCTATGTAAAATTGCCAGCAAGAAAAAAAAGTGCAAGAATAAGGTCTATGACTGAAGTGGCTCGGTGTCATGATTCCCTACTCTAGCATTCTCAGAAGGATCCCATCCGTTAGACATGCAGAAACTGCAGCCCATCCAAATGTGATCTGTTTAATCAATAATCAACAGTTCATATTGAAGACAGTATTTTTGCTATATGTGCTTGTCATAATGAAGGACGGTGTACAAAGAACAAGTTGAACCAGACGAACACTTTAATTTTGATGCCAAAATCAATCACTTTTTGTCATAACACCAGGCATAGATAATGGTTGATCCAGTGCACACTGTCTGTATTGCCCCATAATTTCCTGCAGCAGACATGTTATAATTTGACATACTCCTTGATCATTAACACATTGCAGTAGTCAGATATACTTGTCAAGATTAAGCTAAATGTCAGTAGAAGACTCAGTGAAGGCTTGGAAATCTTGCAGCTTGCTCTCAGAGACACTGCCAACTGAAATGATAAATGTCATTGGGCTGTGGTACTATTCTCATCGACGTATCAATAAATAAAGGGATGCTGGCGAAAAAATGTTCTTCCAGATACCTGCCCACTCTGAACCTAGAGTTCTTTTCATCACTGTGAAAGACAGCTCCCTACACACCGCAGCCATTTCCTGGGAGGACTCTGAGCTGTGATTTTAATAACAGAATGCACTCATCTGCCATTTTTCTTCCAGAATTGCTTGTGAATATCCTGCATGCTATCCAAGTCTCTCCACCCTTGTAGTCTTTGTATAAATGGGTTCATTTTGTTCCTTTTAATTTTTTGAGACAGAGTCTCACTCTGTGGCCCAGGCTGGTGTGCACTGGCGCTATCTGGGCTCACTGCAACCTCCGCCTCCCAGGTTCAAGCTCTTCTCCTGCCTCAGCTTCCTGAGTAGCTGGGATTACAGGCGCGCACCAACACGCCTGGCTAATTTTTATATTTTCAGTAGAGACGGGGTTTTGCCATGTTGGCCAGGCTGGTCTTGAGCTCCTGGCCTCAAGCGATCCACTCGCCTCGGCCTCCCAAACTGCTGGGATTACAGGCTTGAGCCACTGCGCCCGGCCCCTTTGTTCTTATTTGTTGTTATTGCAGTGGGATTCTAGGAGGTGCTGGGAGTGGAGAAGTTAATCAACATATTTAGCTAGCTTGAATAGACATCCCAGTATTGATAGAGTTGCAATCTTAAAAAAAGAAAGAAAGAAAGGGAAAAAAAAGCCCAACAGTCATGGGATGAAAAAGTATTTGGGCGAGGATGAAGGAGTCAAACTCTCACTGTGCACATGAAATCACAAGTATGGGCCGGGCGCAGTGGCTCACGCCTGTAATCCCAGCACTTTGGGAGGCGGGTGGATCGTGGGGTCAGGAGATCGAGACCACCTTGGCTAACACGGTGAAACCCCGTCTCTACTAAAAAAAAAAAATACAAAAAATTAGCCGGGCATGGTGGCGGGCGCCTGTAGTCCCAGCTACTCGGGAGACTGTGGCAGGAGAATGGCGTGAACCTGGGAGGCGGAGCTTGCAGTGAGCTGAGATGGCGCCACTGCACTCCAGCCTGGGCAACAAGGCAAGACTCCATTTCAGAAAAAAAAGAAAGAAAGAAAGAAAAAGAAATCACAAGTACCTACACACGCAACTGTCCTGGTACTAACACAACATTTTGGTTTCCTTATAATATTGAAATTTTATTGAATATTGAAATACATTTTATTGAAGTTGAGAGTTGTATCTTCTTTTACCATGACCGCCAACATGTATGTGCAATAAAAGCTATAAGAATATTTGCATTTGACCCCTAAGATAAGGAACTTGGATTTAATAATTTGGCAGTTGCTTTGTTTCATTTAAATTTGAATATTTTTCTGTTTTATTTTAATAGATTGTTCCTATTGCATTATTCAAAGGTGTTAAAAAAAACTCTATGTGGTTGATTAGAGAACATTTATTATGTATATTTATTTGTGAATATTTATAATAATGAGTGTTTATTAAATATGTACATATTATACATTATACCAGGTACATATTGTATATATTATACATTATATAAGGTAGGGAATATACGTTGCCCATGTGGAGTTTATAATATAGCTGGAAAAATAATATCAACATATATACTGTATGATTCCAGCTACTTTTTTTTGTTTCTTTTTGAGATGCAGTCTTGCTCTGTCACACAGGCTGGAGTGCAGTGGTGTGATCTTGGCTCACTGCAACCTCCGCCTCCCAGGTTCAAGCAATTCTCCTGCCTCAGCCTCCTCAGTAGCTGGGATTACAGGCACGTGCCACCAGGCCCAGCTAATTTTTGTATTTTCAGTAGAGATGAGGTTTCACTGTGTTGTTCAGGCTGGTCTTGAACTCCTGACCTCGTGATCCTCTCACCTTTGCCTCCCAAAGTGCTGGGATTACAGGTGTGAGCCACCACGCCCGGCCTTTTGCCCACTTTTAAGTTGGATTATTTGTTTTCTTATTGTAGAGTTTCAAGTATTCTCTGTATATTTTGAATACTAGCCCTTTATCAGATATGTTCTCCCTCCCTGTGACTTGTTTTCTAATTCTTTTAACAGTGTCACCCATGCAGTAGAAGTTTTTTTATTTTTTTAATTATAATAAAGTCCCACTTAGCAAGTTTTTCTTCTATAGGTCACACTATAGGGTTGTATTTAAAAACTCATAGTCAAACCCAAGGTCACCTGTATTTTCTCCTGCTATCTTTTAGAAGTTTTATAGTTTTGCCTTTAAATTTAAGTCTATGATCCATTTTGAGTTAATTTTTGTGAGAAGTGTAAGGTCAGTATCTAGATTCATTTTTTTACATGTGGTTGTCCAGTAGTTTTAACACCATTTGTTAAGAAGCATATCTTTTTCCCATTGAATTACCTTTGCTTATTTGTCAAAGATCTATTGACTATATTTGTGAGGGTCTCTATCTGTACTCTGTGTTCTATTCCATTGATCTATTTGTCTATTCTTTACCAATACCACACTCTCTTGATTACTGTAAGTTTACAGTAAGTCTTGAAGTCAGTAAGCATTAGTTCTCTAATTTTGTTCTTCTTTAATATTATGTTGGCTTTTCTGCATCTCGTGACTTTCTATAGATTTGGAGTCAGCTAGTCAATATCTACAAAGTAGCTTGCTTGGATTTTGATAAGTACTGCATTGATCCCAATACTGATCTGTAGATCAAGTTGAAAGAACTGATATCTTAACAATATTGAATTTTCTTATTCATTAACATGCAGTAAGTCGATTTTTTAGATCTTCTGTGGTTTCGTTCATCAGATTTTCATAGTTTTCCTCAGATAGATACTACACATATTTTGTTAGACTTATACCTAAGTATTTCATTTTTGGTGCTAATGTAAATGGCACTGTGTTTTTAATTTTAAATTTCAACTGTTCATTGATGGCATATAGAAAAAGAAATGACTTTTTTAAATTAACTTTGTATCCTTCATCCTTGCTGTAATCACTTATAAAAGATTATATACATAGAATTCATTCTAGGAGTTTTTTGTTTATTCTTTGTGATTTTCTACATAGGCACTCATGGCATATATGAACAAAGACAGTTTTATCACTTTCTTCTTCTTTTTTTTTTTTTTGAGACGGAGTCTCGCTCTGTCACCCAGGCTGCAGTGCAGTGGCTCGATCTCGGCTCACTGCAAGCTCTGCCTCCCAGATTCACGCCATTCTCCTGCCTCAGTCTCCCGAGTAGCTGGGACTACAGGCACCCGCCACCACGCCCGGCTAATTTTTTGTATTTTTAGTAGAGACGGGGTTTCGCCATGTTAGCCAGGATGGTCTCGATCTCCTGGTCTCGTGATCCGCCTCCCTCGATATCCCAAAGTGCTGGGATTACAGGCGTTAGCCACTGCGCCCCGCTATCACTTCCTTTCTTATCTGTATACCTTTTATTTCTTTTTTCTGTCTTATTGCATTAGTTAGGACTTTCCACACAAAGTTAAATAAGAGTGATAAGAGGAGACATCCTTGTTTTGTTCCTGTTCTTAGTGGGAAAGTATCTCACTTTTCAGGCTTGAGTATCATGTTAAGTGGAGGGGTTTTTTAGATTTAAAAAATCAATTTGAAGAAGTTTCTCTCTATTGCTAGTTTGCTGAAAGTTTTTATTTTGTCTGTTTGTTTGTTTTGTTTTTTGAGGCAGAGTCTCACACTGTCCCCCAGGCTGGAGTGCAGTGGTGTGATCTCGGCTCACTGCAACCTCCGCTTCCTGGGTTCAAGCGATTCTCCTGTCTCAGCTTCTTGAGTAGCTGGGATATAGGTACACACTATCATGCCCGGCTAATTTTTTTTTTTTTTTTGTATTTTTAGTAGAGATGAGGTTTCACTGTGTTAGCCAGGATGGTCTCGATTTCCTAACCTCGTGATCTTCCTGCCTTGGCCTCCCAAAGTGCTGGGATTACAGGCATGAGCCACTACACCCAGCCTGCTGAAAGTTTTTATCATGAATGATTGTTAGATATTGTCAAATTCTTTTTATGCATCTATTGATAAGATTACATGATTTTTCTTCTTTAACCCATTGGTATAATGGACTGATCTTCGACTGTTGAACTAGGCTTGCATTCCGGAGTACATCCCACTTTGTTATGGTATATAATACTTTCCTTGTTTCTTTTTTAAACTATTGTATTTATTGTTTTTAACACTTTTTCACAACTTCAATGACAATCAAATAAGCCACCTCCTGTGTTGTGTTTCTCTGTGCTGCTTGAAGCTGCCTGTGCTTACTTTTGGTTCTACATAGCTTCTCCCCTTAGAATGATATACGTAGTACAGCATTCAACATATGCTAACTCTTAGTGTTGTTATTATCTGAAGACCCTCAAGGACTGCTCATGGTGCTGATGTGGTTGGAGGGGACATGACTTGAACCATGTCTTGTAACTTTGCATGAATTATTTACACGTGCTTGAGACATGGTTAGTTTTCTGCATCAAAGAATGAGCAGGGAGATGATAAAGAGGTGGCTAGCTCCATCCTGTTCCAGCTATGGTCATTGCTGACGTGCACTTTGCATACACACGCTCATCCAAGTTGCATACTGCACTCAATCAGACTCAGGTGTGAAAGAAAGGTAGGAAAGAGGGACATGGGCCCACTTTCAGCTCTGGTTTATTCAGCTGTTATCACTGCTCTGTATGAGGACTGAAATGAAATTCTCAGCTAATACTGAACTGGAAGGAGCAGCCTGTGTGTGGTGAAGAGATAAAACCTAAAACAATCTTAACAGAAACAAAGCACTTTTCCAAACTAAGAAGAGGGCGATAAATGTAGTTTGACACTTTAGTTTAAAAATACACAAATTTAGGCTGGGCGTGGTGGCTCACACCTGTAATCTCAGCACTTTGGGAGGCCGAGGTGGGAAGATCACGAGGTCAGCAGTTCGAGACCAGCCTGCCTGGCCAATATGGTGAAACTCTGTCTCTACTAAAAATACAAAAATTAGCTGGGCGTGGTGGTATGCACCTGTGCTCCCAGCTACTCGGGAGGCTGAGGGAGAAGACTTGCTTGAACCCAGGAGGCGGGGCTGCAGTGAGCCGAATCGTGCCACTGCACTCCAGCCTGGGTGACAGAGTGAGACTCCATCTCAAAAAACAAACAAACAAACAAAAAAACACAAATATTAGAATAACGCTTGTGAAACAAAAGTGACCTGAGTTTATGTCCCTGTGGCCTTGACAAAAGCCTGTGGTATAATGAGGTCACCTCATATCTTAGTGAGTTTGAAGGGAGTGAGGTCTCTCCTGCCCCCAGCTTTTAGACCACACTGAAGAGCTTGATCCCAGTTCCAGCCATTGGATATTCAGTAAGATGTCAATAAATCAGAGTTTGTCAAGAGAAGGAGGGTGAAGGGCCTTCTACCCTGACATGCCAGGTCTCAGACAGAGAGGAAGGCATTAGTTGCAGGAGAGAGAAAACGCAGGCATGAGCAGGATGGTCAACTTTAAATTCTACAGCTCCCTCCCATGGAGGAGACATTAGACTCACACTAAGAAGATAGGTCTGTAATTGGTGGATGGGGCTGCAGGAAGCTGTACCACAGACAAAAAGAAGAACTCAGGAATGAGGATTCTCAAAAATGAATGTGTTTTCTCTCAAAGAATGTATGACAGTGTATTCATACAGTGATTCTCTGTTATCTATAGAAGTCTAAATTCCATAAGAAGTTCAGAAGGTCCTTTGTTCCTCACTTCCTGCCTGTAAGCCAGTTTCATCTCCCGGACACACTCTGCCACCCTGTGTGCCCTGAGTCATAGCCCCTCTGCACTAACTATGCTTCTCCCAAAAACAGCATACTCCTTTCACCTTCCTGCCTCTGCCCACGACTTCCTCTTGGTCTGGAATGCCCCCAACAGTTCAGCTCTTAAAGCTCATATACCCTCAGGCCATAGTTGAAAATATGTATATCCTTGTTTATTCTCAACAGTTCCAATAAAAATCCACCTCCCCTTTGAAGTCTTCACGACTGCTATACTTTAACCTCCAAAGCAAAGTTAGATACCCCATGATCTGTGCTCCCATGACACCCATCCACTTCGATTATGGCATGTTCCACATTCTAATTATTTGCTTACTGTCTCCTCTAGTTGACTTTGAGCAGACACCTTGTCTTATTCATGTCTGCATCTGAAGAGTTTTCACACAGGGCTCACACCACAATGGGTGAATGAGCACTCGGAGAGGAATCTGTACCCACGTGAAGGCATGCACCCTTCAACACTAAGCTTCTGTGATCTCATAACATCTTGCCTTAATATTCTTCCAAGGTTTAGCACCTGATCCTTTTAAACACATTTGTTAATAAACAATAAATAGGCTATGGTTAACTTTTAAATAACTAGTTAATCTTTATTATGAAATAAGAATTTTGGAAGAGGCGAAGTGATCTATATACATGGGACGGAGGAAAGTGAATATTAATGGTCTATGACGCATCATTAAGTTTCTTTTCTATTTCATAGAATTTTCTACTCACATTACTGTCTTATTCAGTGTTCTTTTGTTTGGTGTTGAACCAGCGCAAAATCTCTGAGGTTAAAATGGAATTATTCTAAAGGCTGGAAGCCTGGTAGCTTCAAGAGCTAGAACCAAAGTCTGGAAAGAGCTCCAGGAACAGCTCCAGCTACCCTAAGTAAATCTCTCCCAGGCGCTCTGATCGCTTTTCACAACTTCTCTCTCCACATCACTTCAGCTTTTCTTTCCACAGATTGACTATGTCTGCTTTTCTAAGCTGCTGGTTAAATATGGAAGCACCAACGATCCCAAACTTAAATATTCTAAGTTGAAATGACCCATAGGGAAAGACCAGTATCTCTCAATCCCAATTCCCACTTTTTAAAGAGAAAATGTGGTTGGGTCAGTTGTTCTACCTTTAAATAAATAGGGTCAGGTATGGGACATGATTCCATAACACAAACATGGCAGGCAGGGCTCACCATTGTGGGGTCAGTCCTCAGATAAATTTTTTTTTTTTTTTTGAGACGGCATCTCACTCTGTCACCCAGGCTGGAGTGCAGTGGTGCAATCTCGGCCCACTGCAACCTCTGCCTCCTGGATTCAAGTGAGTCTACTGTCTCAGCCTCCTGAGTAGCTGGGATTACAGATTTGCGCCACCATGCCTGGCTAATTTTTGTATTTTTAGTAGAGAGGGAAGTTCTACCATGTTGGCCAGGCTGGTCTTGAACTCCTGACCTCAGGTGATCCACCCACCTCGGCCACCCAAAGTGCTGGGATTACAGGTGTAAGCCACTGCTCCTGGCCAATAACTTTATTTATTTATTATTTTATTTATTTATGTTTTTGAGACGGAGTCTGGCTCTGTCGCCCAGGCTGGAGTGCAGTGGTGTGATCTCGGCTCACTGAAAGCTCTGCCATTCTCCTGCCTCAGCCTCCTGAGTAGCTGGGACTACAGACGCCCGCCACCACGTCCGGCCAATTTTTGTATTTCTTAAGTAGAGACGGGGTTTCACCGCATTAGCCAGGATGGTCTCGATCTTCTGACCTTGTGATCCGCCCGCCTCGGCCTCCCAAAGTGCTGGGGTTACAGGCGTGAGCCACCGCGCCTGGCCCAGAACTTTATTATAGGTGGGACACACATACCAAAAGAATCTGTGCACCACAATGATCTAATTTAATTTTGCTTTTTGAGAGGGTTTACAGAAAGATTAAACTGACTGATTAACATTGAGCGCTCTTTTCCCCTTAGATCAAATTTTAGTTAGCTATTGTCAACTATAAAGCTCATTATTATTCTTATGAACTTTAGAATCTAAAAAGATAAATCAGTCATTTGCCTGTTTGTTAAGACTTTATCTGAGCCATCCCTACAAGACAGGTAAAGACAGCACTCAGCACAGGACTGTGGCCTACACTGATCTCTCCTTACTTCCATTATCTGCATTCACATCCATGTCTTAAATTACTGCCTTCTCAAAGTTAACAACTACATTAGTATTTTCTTGTTTACTATCTTTTTGTTTTGTTTTGTTTTTGTTTTTTCTTTTTCAAGAGGGTGTCTCACTCTGTTGCCCAGGCTGGAGTGCAATGGCATGATCTCGGCTCACTGCAACCTCCACTTCCCGGGTTCAAGCGATTCTCCTGCCTCAGCCTCCGGAGTAGCTGGGACTACAGGCGCCTGCCACCACGCCCAGCTAATTTTTATATTTTTAATAGAGACGGGGTTTTACCATGTTGGCCAGGATGGTCTCGATCTCTTGACCTTGTGATCCACCCGCCTCAGCCTCCCAAAGTGCTGGGATTACAGGCGTGAGCCACCGCACCCGGCCTTTTTTTTTTTTTTTTTTTTTGAGACACAGTCTCGCTCTGTCGCCCAGTCTGGAGGGCAGTGGCCTGATCTCGGCTCACTGCAACCTCCACCTCCCAGGTTCACGCCATTCTCCTGCCTCAGCCTCCCAAGTAGCTGGGATTACAGGCGTAAGCCCCCACGCCCGGCGAATTTTTTGTATTTTTAGTAGAGATGGGGTTTCACTGTGTTAGCCAGGATGGTCTTGATCTCCTGACCTCGGAATCCACCCGCCTCGGCCTCCCAAAATGCTGGGATTACAGGCCTTAGCCACTGCGCCCGGCCCACTCTCTGTTCAACTCGGGAATCCCTGTCTTCTTCCTGTCTTGAAAGCTTCAGCCTTCTGAGACTTAAGAATACAATTTCAGGCTGGGCGCGGTGGCTCACGCCTGTAATCCCAGCACTTTGGGAGGCCCAGGCAGGCGGATCACGAGGCCAGGAGATCAAGACCATCCTGGCTAACACGGTGAAACCCCGTCTCTACAAAAAATACAAAAAATTCGCCGGGCGCCTGTAGTCCCAGCTACTCGGGAGGCTGAGGCGAGAGAATGGCGTGAACCCGGGGGTCGGAGCCTGCAGTGAGCCGAGATTGCGCCGCTGCACTCCAGCCTGGGCGACAGAGCGACACTGTCTCAAAACAAAAAACAAAACAAAACAAAATTCAATTTCAAAACCTAGATAAAAACTAAATCTTTGGAGATTCAGTGCTAAATTCTCAATTTGTGTTCACTAAAAAAGACGTACACTTGGGCAGTGACTAATTTGATAGTTATTTCCCTTGGACTGATAAGCACATTCCTTTTTTTTTTTTTTTTTTTTTTTTTTTGTTAGAGTCTTGCTCTGTCGGCCAGGCTGGAGTGGCATGATCTCGGCTAACTGCAACCTCCATCTCCTGGGTTCAAGCAATTCTCCTGCCTCAGCCTCCTGAGTAGCTGGGATTACAGGCGTGTGCCACCATGCCTGGCTAATTTTTGTAATTTGAGTAGAGACGGGGTTTCACCATGTTGACCAGGCTGGTCTCAAACTCCTGACCTCGGGTGATCTGGCCTCCTCGGCCTCCCAAAGTGCTGGGACTACAGGTGTGAGCCACTGTGCCCCACCCAAGTACATTCATTTTTAAACAATTAAGAAGTTTTGTAATGACTTGTGAAATGAGGTGATGAAATATAATTAAAGTAATCACTATTTTAATGGTAGTTCTCCATGGAATATTTCACAAAATTATTCAGCACCTTGTTAAGTTTTTAAGAACTAATAATGAAATAATATAATAATAAACCAGGAACATAGTGTTATAAATAGATAGAAAATACTTTAGAGATTGAAGTTTTGTATTCACAGAGATAGGAGTGAAATAAAGCAGTTGTTCTTATAACTCTTGGCACTGAGACTATGTGACCTGTGATTTTGATATATGAGAGAAAAGCCAGATTTTATATGCAAGATGTTGGACAATAGATTTAGAGAGAAAATGTATCAGAATACACACTGAGGCAATAATTGCCTGTTTACAGATGAAACAGGAAAGACAAGATATAGAACTTCAAAATAAACATAAATGGTAATACTTAGCAGCATATTGAGCCAATTTATTTGGAGAAAATAATGAGAACATGCAGGACAACGCTGATGCTATAGACAAAAATTTATATTTTTTCCACTCAGGAGACTGTTTTTAGTAGTTTACTACTAGACAAGATGCTATGTTGAATAAAGCTAATGTACTTACTCTGTTTTGTTTCTTCTTTTTTTTAAGTTCTGGAATAATTTTCAGGAGAAAGAAAATCATAAGAGTTTATTTAAAATTTCTTTTTCTTGAAACAGATTTATATTATTGAAAAATTAAATAACAGGTCACTACATAAATATCCCTGAAATTTTTTTTTTTTCTTTTTTTGAGACGGAGTCACGCTCTGTTGCCAGGCTGGAGAGCGGTGGCGCCACCTTGGCTCACTGCAACCGCCGCCTCCTGGGTTCAAGCAATCCTCCTGCTTCAGCCTCCTGAGTAGCTGGGACTACAGGCTCGCACCACCACACCCAGCTAATTTTTTGTGTTTTTAGTAGAGACAGCGTTTCATCATGTTGCCCAGGATAGTCTTGATCTCTTGACCTCGTAATCTTCCCGTCTCAACCTCCCAAAGTGCTGGGATTACAGGCATGAGCCACAGCGCCAAGCCAAAAATGTCGGTGAATTTTCAGAGACTAGATCCATTCAGTGAACACAGCCAGGGCTCTGTTGGATGCAAATGACAAAGACACAACTCAAACGTACTTTAACTCATGTTACAAAATGCTAAAGGACAGACCTTAGGGCATAAGCAGCATCTCTAGAATTTAGTCTTACCTCTTCCATCTCTACCTTTCTCTGTGTTGGTTCCATTTTATTTGTTTCCTGCAATGACTCATATCTTGTGATTGAAAAACAAGGGGCCGGGCGTGGTGGCTCACGCCTGTAATCCCAGCACTTTGGGAGGCCAAGGCGGGTGGATCACGAGGTCAGGAGATCGAGACCAACCTGGCTAACACGGTGAAACCCCGTCTCTACGAAAAATACAAAAAAAATTAGCCGGGCATGGTGGCAGGCACCTGTAGTCCCAGCTACTTGGGAGGCTGAGGCAGGAGAATAGCGTGAACCTGGGAGGCGGAGCTTGCATTGAGCCAAGATCGCACCATTGCACGCCAGCCTGGGCGACAGAGACAGACTCCATCTCAAAAAAAAAAAAAAAAAAAAAAAAGAAGAAGCCTGGTGGATATTCATTTCTGCAAGAATACTCAGGGAGTTCTATCATCAGGGACCTTTTCTGGACATGGTTTGCCTCTCCAGGCCTTGAGAACCATATCTTACTCCCCAAAACACTTTTGTTTCTGAGCATCCTCAGAGCCCATTTTTTCTGACCCAAATTGCTGCTCAGTAAAGGGACACAGATATTTAAGGGACACAGATATTTAAGGGACCTGAGGGGATGGTCCAAAAAGAGTAATTTTCTAGAGTGTCCATATATTTTTAAGTAATTGTGGAGGCATCAATCAGGATATCACTCTTCCTCCATTCACCCACCAAGAGATTGGGAATTGCCTTGTTCAATGTCGAAAGGCTGTCCTGGCTCACTCTTTCAGCACTCTGCAAAAGATGAGTGTTATCGCAATGGCATTGTGCCCATACACACCCAGGGAAAACCGTAGCTTTTGAAAAATGTTATAAACAAAATAACTGCATTGAATTC